>NC_000009.12:34555454-34706969 GCF_000001405.40 Homo sapiens
AGTGCCCACGACCCTATGGGCCCAGGGCCCTCAAAGCAAGAGAACCCGAAGTCTGCCCCAGACCTCTGGCTGTTCCCCAGAGCTCTCTATTGTAGCTTGATCCAGACCATAGTCTGACCCCATACTGACCCTTGTCCACTGCTTGGTTCCCAGCCAGGCTACCTTCCGACTCACAGCCTCAAGCTGACCCCTAAGCTGGGTCTGACTTTGGAGTCCTGATGCCAGTCAGGGCCTAAACTCACATGCTGGACCAGGCTTGACCCCACTGCCTGATCCTGACCCCTTGGGCCCATCTGTGAGCCCTTGAGGACAGGCACGTTCCTGTCCCTTGGGGCCAGCACAAGCCCAGAGCCTGGGCCAGAGTGTAAAGAGGGAGATGCCTGGTCAGGGCTGAGAGCGAGGTAAGGAAAGGGAGCCTTGCCTGTCCTGCCCGCCATCTCCCTCCCCCGCCATCTCCCTCCCCTGCCATCTCCCTCCCCCGCCATCTCCCTCCCCCACCATCTCCCTCCCCCGCCATCTCCCTCCCTCACCATCTCCCTCCCTGCATTTCTCTCCACGACCCCAGGGAGCCACAGAAAGACATATGTGTTCCCGCTGCACTAACAGGGGTCACTGGGAACCCCTAAGGACACCTGCCTCAGCTCCATCCATTCTCCCAGGCCCACCTGTCCCTTTTCCCCGCAGAGAGCCTGATGCATCAGGTCTCACACTGGAGCTGCTGCCACGTGGGATATGGGTGCCACTCACTGCACATGATTCTAACTCAGGCACCCAGGATCTTGGCCGGGCAGGGCACTCACATGCTGCCACTGGTCCAGGATGAGGGGTCGGTAGCGCAGAAAGAACTTGAGAGGAAAAGACTCAGGGTCAGGCCAGGTCGAGGGGGTCTGCCACGTCACCTCCAGCCGGCGAGGGTTGCTGGGCACTGGCCGGGCTACCACATTTTCTGGAGGATCAGGCTTCACTGTTCAGGAGACATAGCTTCATTACTACACTAATCACTGGCAACAACCCACTTTGTCAACTCCAGCCACCATGTTGACCCTCTCATATTGCCAACCATTGTCATCAACATCATAGTCAGCGTGCCTCTTCTCTGTTGTCAATTCTGATAACTACCATAGACAACTATCTCATTAGTTCCAAGTCTGATATCCCCATCATCACTAATGACTGTCACTACAGTCACTGTCACCAACTCTTAATATCAACATTCCAAATTTCATCTCATCATCCCATCATCCCAACCCTATCCTCATACTGACCTGCATCCCAGTAACTAAGACAATATGATGCCTCCATAGTTACCACTGTCACCCCCACTGTCACCTGGACTACCCCCTCCTACACCAGCATCACACATTCCCCCAAGCCTGGTTTTTCACTTCAACTTTTCCAGTTCCAAACTAAGACCTGGGTCAAGGGTAAAAGACAGTCCACAGGTGTTGCAGATCTGGAGGTAGGCTGGGGATCTGATGAGCGCGCCTAAGGGCCCAGCTTATGTAGAAATACTCTGTCTAGGGATCCAGCCATGGGGTCTGGGGAGAAGACAGGGGCAGGCAGAAGGTCTGGCTGGGGCGGGGGAATAGCAGGCAGAGAGCCTGCCTGGAATAGGGCAGGGGCAGGTAGAGGGTCTGGCTGGGATGGGGGGGGTCAGGGGGAGGGCAGTATCTGTCCCAGTCCTGTCTCCTGTTCTGACACCTCATTCATCACAGTCCGTAAGGAAGCCATTAGAGTTGGGGGGGGGTGCGGTGGAGGCTGCAGCTGCACAAGGGTCTGGCCCAGCCTGCCCCCCCTTCCCCCTGCTGCATGTTCTGGGAGCCAGAAAAATGATCGAAAGAGCTGCTGGACAGGTCTCTCGGCCCTTCAGGTAAAGGACATTCACTTACACGTTCACAGGTGTATATGTCATGCATATATGTGCACATATATGTGCACTGTACATACCTGTGCAGAGGCATGTACATGCCATGTATACATGTGCATGCATGTGGACATCCCCACCAATGGCACACATCCACTTACATTCCCACTGGAGTAGGCAGCAGGTCCCCCCAACCGCCACACGTACCAATGGTGAACTCGTCAAAGGTGATAGCTGTGGCATTGTGGCCCAGGGCATTGCTGACACTTATGGAGACCTTGTACTTGATGGTGGAGAACAGGTGCATGTAGCGAATGTGGCAGCGGTTCTTGAGGGCTGGGTCCTTCTCACAGACCATAATTTTGGAGCCATGCCTGGGGAGAGGTGAGACCCAGGCACTGTTACGAACATCAAGGGTCAGGTGGGGCAGAGGTTGAGGAAAGGTCAAGCCCAAGGCAGGGCTGGGGTATGGACAGAGGGCATGGTGGTGGGATGGGGGAGAGGTCAGAGGTCAGGGCTGGACCCGGGTCACAGGCGCAGCTACTCACAGCACAGTCACATTGAAGGTGTTGGGAATGTAGGTGGGGGTGGGCAGATGCCAGCTGCAGTAGAAGCCCTTGGGGTAAGTGTTGGAGCGGCAGCTGAGCACAGGCTCCCGCGGCGGCACTGGGGGTGAGGACAGTATGGTCAGGGCATTCTTGGAGCTCCCAGTCCCCTGCACTGTATGGGGACAGGTGGGCCCCAGAGCCCCAGCTCTCCCCCCTCAACCCATCATTGATGCCAAAGTTGTGGCGGGGAGGCTGTCAGCGAGGGTCTGAGGCTTCCCAGGCCACAAGAGCCAGATGTTTAATTAAAGAAAAACAAGGGCTGTGCGGACACGGAACCCCCCCTCCACCTGCTCAATGGAGGCAGGAACCGTGGGGAGCAGGGGGCTGCGGGCCTCAACTCATCAATCACAGGATGGAGGTGATGTCTGGGGGAATCGGCCCCAGCCCCACATCTCCTGCCACTTTGTGTCCACTCCCAGAGGAAGACTGTGCTGCAGAGACGAGGGGAGTCTTGAATGGGTCCTCCGACTGCTGGAGTATCGGGTGCACTTCCTAGAGAAGAGACACCCCAGACTTCCCTCAGTAGAGACAGAGACACGAGGACAGGCCTGGTGGCTACACAGGAACAGCACTGGGCAGCTGTTTGTATGCGTATCTGTGTTTGTAGATGTCTGCATGCAGGGGTATACGTGCTACATGCATGTCTCTATGTGACATGAATGAGTGACCAGGGATCCGTAGGAGCAGCTATGCGGATGTGTGTGAATCTGCATGTCTATGTATGATTGTGTGTGTGTACAAGTGCCTGTTGAAAGGAAGCTGCTGTTCCCTTTGTGTGTACCTCACCTTAGTGCCAGCCCCCAGCATCTCCATCGCAGACCCTTTAAGAAGCCCTTTACATGGTAAGCAGCTGCCCTCACTCTGGAATAGGAAGGCCCAGAGAGGGATAAGGACCTCTCAAGGTCAGACAGTAAGCCAGAGCTAAACCCCAGGACAGGGGTAACCCTATACACACACACTTGGGAAGTCCTTTCTGCTGTCTAGCCCGCACTCTTTTTTGCTGCCGTGAGCACTTAGCCCAGCTGTCCCACCCTCAGGCATTGGGTAAGGCGTGAGGACAGGCGGCTCAGGTTCCTGGAAGGAGGCAGCTTATGTGATCTGACCCGAGCAAGGAATGTCCATCTGCGGCTCCAGGGACACTGACACCTCCCTCCTGTGCCTCCCCCCTCCCCCGCCCCCGGCCTGACAGGTGGACAGGAAATGGGAGGGGGGCAGCGCAATAAGCCAGGGACAGTGAAGGGGAGTGCATGTCTATGCTTGTAGAGTGGCCATGGTGACACAGGGGAACAGTGGGCTTCCATCCACAGTGTGCACGTGACTGTGAGTGACTCTGTGTGATTGCGTGTGCGTGTCCAGTATGTGTGATGCTGGGAGGGGCCTGGGGCAGAACCCCCAGGATCCAGATCTAGCTTTGCAGCAGAAGAGATGAGGGGGCAGAGAGGCATCAGAACTCCAGGGCACCAGGTGGAGGGTGCAATGCTGTGGGCGGAGGCAGCTCCATTCCCCAGGCCTGTCAGGGAAAGCGGGGTCCAGCTGAGACCCCACAGGGCCAACCTGCATTCTGCCTTCCACTGTGTGCCTCCCTTGGGAAGCCTTCCGGGCCCTGCGTCCATCTCATGTCGTTCCATGTTCATCCTGTGTGCCTTTAGTGTCTCTTCCCTGTCTGCCCACGGGTGCAGAACTCTGCCTGGGGGTGGGGTGGGGGGCGGCCAAGGACACAGGAAGTGCCTTCTGGGGGCCTGTTGGCCAAGCCAGAGTTGGCAGCCACCCCAGGAGGAAAGGACATTCCGAGGTCGGCCGAGAAGCCTCCACTCCCCGCTCCTGCCACCGCTGGGGGTGGGGTGGGGATCGGAGTGTGCAGAGTCCGCTCCCTGCTGCCCCGGACTCCTCGGAGGGCAGAGCGGGCCACGGCACTGTACTCACAGGCCCCCACCCCTGGCCAGCCTCCCCACTGACCAGGCTCCCCCACTCCCCGACTGTCCTCCCCCCTCAGACCGCGTCCCCTTCCAACCTCCCCCTCACGCCAGTTCCTCTCCCTGACTGGGGAGGTCATGGTGGGGTGGGGGTTGGGGGGCTGACTGGAGGCTTTGTCTGTCATCTGGCTACTCCTGCCTGGCCCTGGGCCCTGAGCAGGGAAGGGCTTGGGTTTCCTGACAGGGACCAGGTTTCTCAGAGGGAAAAGGAGGAAAGAAAAACAAAAGGAAGAAAAGGAGTGACTTGCTGCAGCTGGAGCCCAGCTGAGGGGCCGGGTGGGCGGAGGTGGGGGTGCTGTGAGATTGTAGGACAGTGTGAGATCAGGATGCCTGTTGTGAGTGTGTTGTGAGTTGGAGGAAAAGCTGTTTTTAAGACGCTGTGATTGCAAGGCTGTGTGTAACTGTGAGGCTCCATGTGTGTGGCTGTGAGACTCTGGGCAGTTGTGTAACTGTAGGATGGGAGGCTGTGTGGGACTGGATGACTGTGTTTGCACGTGACTCAGGGTGAGGCTGTTCAATCTCGAGACTGTCTCTATGTGCTAGGCTGTGTGGCCAAGGTACTCTGTTAGAGTGCCTGTAAGTGTGCCATTGTGTCTGAACACAGTGACAGCTAGAGCTCATACATGAGGCAGTGCATATGTGATGGAGCATAGTGAGGCTGAATGTATTTTGCAAACTGTGCATGTGGGAGGGTGCCCAGAATTCACAGCATGTTCACACGTATGAACTGAACACCGTGTGAGTGCATGTTAAAGAGAGTGTGTGAGCAAATGCTCTTATGCACACAGGTCACAGTATCAGGCTCTGGGCATACACGGCATCTGGGTTGCCCCTTGTGGGGGCTCTTGAGACACCCAAGTGACTGTCAGCCTGTGGCAGGGTGTCCCTGGGTCCCACGCGGGGCTGTGTGCGCGTGTGTATGTGTGCGTGTGCCCCCACTGGCCCAGGGTTTGTTTGTTTTCCTCCTAATTGGCTTGTTTTTCCATGTCCAGCCCACCAAACCGCATGTTTTTCCTCTCATCTCGCCAGCCTGCCTGGGCTGGAGCCCCCGGCACGCATGAGGCCTGCCCGCCGGCCCAGACAGGAGGAGGGGCAAGCTGCCCACACCCTAGGCCAGGCCAGATCAGGCAGGGTGGGGCAGGGTGACCCTTCCACTCCAGCCCTACCCACGCCCCACCCACACGCCGCCTCCTGCCTGGCACTCAAGGCTCAGGCCTGGCTCAGCCTTATCTCGTGGCATCCCTTGAGGCATTCCAACTTCTGGACTCCCAAATGCCCCGGCGACCTCCCACTTGTGATTTCTCCCCAGACGTCTTCTTTGACCATAGCCCTCTCCTCACTCTTTCCTTTCCAGCCAAACAGGGCTGCAGGGAAAGCAGTGCTGAACCAGGGGACCCAGAGCTTCCATCCTAACCAATCAAATAAAAGTTTTAAAAAACTGGAGAAGGAACTGTCCATTTAAAAATCATTTTAATCTCTGGTTTGTTTTAGCTTAAGATCAGAACGATACAGAATCAGCAGTGTCTTGTAAATAAAAAGATGCTACTAAAAGCAACACTGTGATCCTGCTTCCTAATGTGGGGGGTCCTTCCGTCATCCTAGGGAGGAGAGGAGTCCTTAGGGCTCTGCTCGTGAGGATCCACTTGAGAGCAAGAAGGTGGATCAGGAGAAAGCAGTTCAGGGATTAGCCTGGTTAAGGAGACTTCCAACAGAATACTGTTAAGACCAAGTTCCCTTGTAAATAGAGACAAATTGCATGTGTTTGGGATAAATATTAAATAATTTTTGGTTTGAATGACCCACAAATCAGGGGTAACTCTGTCCTGTTCTCTGAGAGCTGGCAGGAAGGATAATTTGATACTGAGTGTTGCCAAAGCCAGTCTCTTGTTACTAATATAAAGTGACTGAGACGATAATGATTAATATCCCCTGTTCCTCTGACCAGGTCTTTAGAAGGAAATAATGCAATGAGAGATAAGTACCTGAAACTAATGCTACAGCCAACTCATGGCCAGCCTTCATCTGGCAGCAGGGCCTGGAGGGCAGTGAGCACTCTATATAAAAGGTCTGGGCCCTGGTCACAACAGGGCAGCTGTGGGCATGTCCCGTGGGTATAGACTATGGACATTACTTCAAGACCCAATTCCCCTCCAACGACCTCTCAAAGAAGATCACATCATCAAGAATGGGGGTCCAGGGTCATCAAGGCCCAGCCATCACAGTCAGTCTTGTCCATCCTGAGGACTTCTGGGCCCAAACTGAGAAGACAGGGATGTGGGTGACCGGTGCCAAGTTGGGTTCATCCTTTTTCCATGGCACTCAGTAAATGGCCCTTTTCCCTCTGAAAGGGCCTGGGGCTAGGCTGAGTGCTCCACTTCTGATGGACCCCATAGTGCGCCAAGGAGAATTCTGTTAGGCTGGTCCTGCATTTCTCAAGCTGGCCAACAGGGGTCACTCCACCCATGGCTTGCAACTAAAATGTTGGGTTTTGAACGCCATCTCTTCAGTTTAGACACATTAAACAATAACCAAAAAAAAGGCCTTCCCATGGGGAAAGGTACATTCCCACCAAAATACATTTTCACACCTCTTTAAGCCCTACTGGTGGGTCAGCGTTTTTGTGGAAGACCCTGAACAACCCTTCAGCCTAACATTTTACACAGTGTTCTACACCAGTCTTCTGACAGCGAGGCAAGTGTCTGCTCCCAGATCCCTTAAACATCTGCTAGGTAGCTTCTACGGAATAAGGAGACGACTTTTGGGCAGTGGGGTGAACCATACCCAAATAAAATGAGGCCAGAGGAGCTTGAATCATTGGCTCAGGAGAAAAGAAATGAAGAAATGGAACTATGTTCAGAGTATTCACTCTGTTGGTGGGTACCTCCAGCTGGGATCTGGATGCCTGCCCACCTCACCCTCAGCAATGGTGATGGCCTTGTCATTCTGACTTCTCAAAATCCCTCTTCCAAATCACACTCACCTGGTCTTCCCTCTACCTTCTTGCTGGCTCCTTCTTATTTCTTTTTGTGGCTCATTTCCCTCCATCGACCTCTTTAAATGCTGATGGTCTTTAGGGCTCAATTCTGGGTCCTCTTCTCTCTTCACTCCATGATCTCTCCCTTGGCCATCTCACACCCTCCCATGGCCTTAATGCTGACAACCCCCCACAAATATCCATCTCCAGCAGAGGCCTCTCCCCGAATCCCAGACGCTCAGACCCACTGGTTACCAGCCATCAACTCCCGGTTGTCCTCCAAGGATCCCACTGAACAGGTCTGCAGCAGATGTCTAGGGAGCCGCCGATCCCTTGCCCATACTATTAATACTTCTCACTCCCAAATTCTGCAGTTATTCGCCTAAGAGCTTTCTTTTGCTTTGCCTGCTGGGACATCAGGGCAAAAGTGCTGGGGAATCAAAGAGCCTCCCTCCCACCCCAGGTGAATCTCTCAACCACTGATGGGCAGGAGCTAGTGTATACACATCCCAGCTCCCTCACCCTCAGGCAGGGCAACTCAGGTGCACGTTCTGCATCTGCACCTTCGGTGGTTAACCTCAGTCGCCAAGAGGCAATGTCTGGATAACTCACTCTTTACTGACTAACCTAACTTCCTTTTTGTGTGTCACTTTCCCATTCCTTCACGGTATTTCCTTCACCTGCCAAACAAACTACTTGCATAAGAATTCTCATCTTGGGATCTGATTCTAGGGAAACCCAAACTAAGACACTGTTCAAACAGCACACATTATCTTTTCCTTCCGTTTTCTTCCTGTTGCAGTCATGGATTCCTCCAGCTGTCTTGACTCCTCCCACCTTCTACTCTCCTGTCCTTCCCACCTCCAATCCATCACCAATTCTTCGACGTCCAACTGCGCCTTCTCAGCTTCCCCAGCTCCATGCCCTGGTCCCAGGTCCTCATCCTCTCTCCTGCATCCAGTAACAGTCTCCTTCCTACCTTGGTTTTTCTCCATCCAACCTGCCTCCCTCCACTCAGAGTGATCTTTTAAGAACATGACCCAGAAGATGTCACTGCCCAGCTTGCAGGATCATGATCTGCCCCCCGTCCCTTCCTTCAGCTCCCTCTCCACATCAACACCAGCCCAAGTGGCCTTTACATGCCCTCCCAGCCGCTGAGGCCTACGGTCACACCCAGCTCTCTGCCAGAAATGATGTTTCAATGCGTCTTCTAAATCACCGTTCGCTTCCCAAGTCTCCATTCGCTTCCCACTCCAGGATGCCTTCCTCCTTCCCTGGGGCCTCCTGGAGCGCCTTGCCTGTACCTGCATAACCACATATCCCACTTCCCTCCCTGAGGCCCTCTGACTAGCCCTTGTGGGAGCAGACACAGTGAGGCTCCTCCAGCTCAGATCCGTGACCTGAGGGTCTCTCCCCACTCATGTCCCAGGTGAGCCATGCCTTACCAGCTCTCTGCCTATGTTGTCAGAGGGAATAGGGTTTTAGGATACCCAAGACCTCCACGGGGGTGGGATGTGTGGGCAAATTGTCTAGGGGTCTGGACTCAGTGGGTAAGACTGGGCTCAGAGGCCAGAAGAGCGGGCCAGGACAAAATCAGAGGGCAAGGGTCAGGCTGCAGCTCTCCCCTCTCCATGTCCCCCTAACAGGAAGGGGACTTGATCTGGGCTAGGAGTCTGGGTCTCAAGGAAGGAGGGAGGCTGGATGAGGGGTGGGGGCAACACTTACAGCCCACATGCAGCAGGACTTGGTGGCGCAGGTGCCAGGAGTCACGGTGGAAGCAGGCGTAGAGGCCACTGTGGCCCAGTTCCAGGCCATGGAGCACCAGCTGAGAGCCGTTGAGCAGGTCAGGGGCCAGGTCTGTCCCATTTACCCGCCACGTCACCGCAGCATCCCAGTTTGCTGTCCCACATGGCAGTGTCACGTCAGAGCCCAGGCGCTCGTACTGCACATGGGGTGCCTCTGTGGGGGGTGGGGGCACAGGGCAAAAGTCACAGGTCACAGCCCGGCCCAGCACCCGCAGGCGAGCGTGCTCAGACAAGAGCCTGTGAGGATGGATGAGTGAGGACGAGAGGCTCGGTGTCTGTGTGAGTGTTTGGGGAGATGAAGAGTGTTCAAAGCTCCTCTATGCCTGTGCAAGTGTGTGGGTATATGAATGTCTCCAAATGTGAATGTGAGTGAGCATGTACAGGGGCTAGGTATGTGAATGGGCGATCTTCTGTGTGTGTGTGTTTGCATGTGACAGAGAGTTTGCATAGTGCTGAGAGGGGTCAGTTCTCAGAGAAAACCCAGTTCCTCTCCAGTCCCTGGGTTTTTTAAAGTTTCCTGACCCCCATGACCCGGATCTCTTGCCACCCACAGGCCCAGCCCAGTTACTGACGTCCATTATTACCCAGGCAAGCTGGCATTGAGGGGCCCCACTCCTGGACTCCTTTTTCGGTCTCCTTATCTCTTTCTCTTCCCCACCCCATCCTTGTCTCTTTCTGTCCTGTCTCTACCCCCCACCTCCCCCATCTCTCTTCCTGTCTCTCTCCCTTTCCTCTGCCTTCCCAGCCTGCCACCCCACAACAACCCGCCCCTCAGCCATCCAGGGCTCAGGCAGCAGCAGGAGAAGGGAGAATGGGCAGCAGGGAACCCTAGGGAACTCCTGGCAGCTGTCAAGTTCACAAGGCAGGAACTACTTAGGGCAGGTTGGGGGCTTGGGGGGTGCGGTGCTGCTGGGATGGAGTGAGCACTCTGACCATTCCTCTCCTACCCCCAGGAGCGGCCTGTCAGAGCCAAAAGCAAACCCCAGCCCTGCCTTCAGCAACCCAGGCGTGATGGACAGAGCCCAGGAGACTGGAAATGGAAGGGTGGAGGCGAGCACCTGTCGACAGGCAGCACGAAGTGGGGGAAGCGATCAGGGCAGAGAGACAGATTTAAGATGCAGGCACACAGAGATAGGGAGATGGGAATCTCAGGACACCCCCTTCTCATCCTACCCGCTGAGCCTGAGAGACAGACACTTCCCAGGTCTTGGCCAGATCTGCGGAGTGAGGGTGGGAGAGGAGAAGGGAAGGGGGAGAGGGCAGCAGTTGGGGTGGGGGGCTGCGGGATCCCTCGTTAACACTCGCTTACATCTCCCCTCCAGAGAGCCACCCTGCTGAGTTGGGGGATTTTTAGAGGCAATTCCTGTTAACGAGCCAATTAAGTTGGGCCAGTGGCCTCTTAATTAGGCTTGTTAACACCACCAAGACTGCAGGGGTGTAGGGATCCCCCTTGGACCCACTGGCCACCCCCTCCTCCCATTGCAGCCCCCTCCTCAGCCCTGCTTTGCTCTGCACTGGAACATCTGTCCCGGTTTGCTGCCTCTGTCGTCCTCGCTGTGCCAGGGTCTCTCTGTGACTCCGGGTCTCTCTCCCTCGCTGCCTATCTCTATCCTGCCCCTCTCTGTCCCTGTCAGAGAAGAAGGAAGCAGGAAACCCAGCCAGCCCTGACCACTCATCTGTGGAGCCTGGGACCAGCCGAACAGACGATGAACGGGCGGAAGGGCGGTGGCTGGGGGCCTTGGAGGCCACAGCTGTGAGGCTGGACCAGACACTAAACAGGGGCCTCCCCCTGACCAGAGGCCCAGTGTCCAAGACTCCGGCCACTGAGCGCCCCCAACAGTCCACCAGCTCCAGCCACTGAGCCCCCCTCCAGCCTCCCTTCCAAAAACCTGGAGCTTCCAGGAAACATGCCAAGCCCCTCTCTCTGCACCCCCTAGCAGAGACTTTGCATCCAGCTGCCTGAGGAGGAGGCTGAAAACTGACCTTTGGGGAGGGGGCGTGGCCATCATGGTCCCAGCAGCAACACATCAACACTGACCAGGCAGCTCAACGCTAACGTGGACCCAGTGTGGCCCTTAATCCTGGGGAGCAGGTACGGCCACCACACGAGGACACAGCAACCGAACAACACATTACATACAATGGCTATGGGATAACACCTCCCCACCACACCTTGTCTGCTGCACAAAAAAAGTAGAAACGCAACCTGACAATAATGACAGACCGATGATGTAAAGGCAGGGCAGAACGAAAAAATGACAACACAATGGCAGAAGACAACGACAGGCCACAGTGGAGAGGTGGAGGGGTAAGAGGACATGACAAGCACACAGTGTCACAACTGCTACAATAACACAACAATGGCAATACACGCAGCCATGCAACTGCTCCAAAGATGGCAGTGATTTAATCTTTTGTCTCTGGACAGCTCTGCTCCCGCCCCGTGGGTGCCCCTACTGATGTGCTGTCCATTTCAGAAATTAAATCAAGCAGCAGGGGGAGGATTGGGGTTCTTGGCCCTGAAGCGGTGACAAATGCTCCAAAGGAATCAGCTGTGAAAAGGTTGTTAGAAGCCAGGATGAGAGACAGAGACGGGATGAGGTCATGGACATGGAGAACACAGAGGGACAGAGCTGACGGCTCCCTCACACCTGCACACACAGGCTCACAGGGGGACCACATGTCAGAAACAGTCCCCCCGGGCATCCCAAAGCAACTTCACTTTGCCACACACAAAGGAACAAGGGCAGTCACCCCTAAAGAAGAAGGACATGCAGGACAGTCATCCACAAGGCCACAGTCACACACAAGTTCACAGTCACACAGGGACACTGTCTCACTTCAGGGATGGTAACACCTGATACGAGATCACATGTACACGTACAAGAAGGGCACCATCACCTAAAGGCACAGCAGTTATGCCCAGGGACACAGGGAGACAGTTTAATACAAACACACAAAGAGAAACAGAGAGACACAATTACATGTGGGGTACAGTCTCAAACACAAGGATACAGCCCCACAAAGGGCATGCAGACAGGCAAGGTGACATAGACAGACAATGTCACACGTGAGGAACAGTCCACAAGGATACAGCCACACAGAGAAATGCACTCAAACAGGGACACACTCTCACCCTCACAAGAACACAGTTTCACACTCTCAGAGAGGTGGCCTTATGTCCAGGACCATGGGGACACAAGGTAGAGACCACTGGCAGGCCCTAGGGATGCCCAGTCAATGCCCCTGGGGCTGGCCAGGATCTCTCCGGGTCTCACTGATGATCTCATAAAGAAGAGGCCATATAAGCCTCGACTCACTACCCACAGCCTTGAGGGTGGCAGAGCCCAGCCACCAGGGTCTGCTCCATGCCTGGTCCCTGGAGAGGCCCTCACCCTCTCTGCTTTCACCCAACCCGACTGACACGGAGTAGGAGGTGGGAATCATGCAGGCAGGGAGCTTAGGAAGCCTGGTTCAAGGTGAGTTTTGAGTTCAGACCTCGGGCTGATGTTGCTGTTTGAGGTGCTGCCTCAAGTGCAGTAGAGGGGCAGGTGGCCAAGTTAAGAGGGCCTCTGTTAACACCGCTCCTTGTCCTGTGGGCTGTGGGCAGGCCTTGCCCCTCACTGGAGAAATAGGTAAAGGGAGGGCAGGGAGGCTGCCAATGGCCGAGCCCTGAGCTGTCCCTCCCCCGTGTGGCCATTCCAGCTGATTAACCTGTCCCTTCCTTAGTGCACTGGCTCTCTCCCGCATGTTAGCCTGTCCCTTCGTCTCATTCTCAGTCCACCTTCTCTGTCCCCATCCTCCGTCTGGGATGAAGCTGAGGGTAGAAGGTGACCTGCAGTCTTGCCCACTGTCTCCAATCGGTGCCTCCAACTGCACCCCACAAATCTCCGAGAGATCCCCTTTCACCCAGATACAATATACAGGTCCCGCCCCAGCCTCCCCCGTCAACTCCCATCCCACCTGCCTGTACCCTATGCCACCCTAGTAAGAAGACAGATCATCTCAAGCCAGAGACACCGTCAGCATTCGACCACCCTAGTGTGAGTGTGGAGGACTGTGCATATCAGTGTCACATGACTCCATGTCCCTCTGGGTGGTCATGTGTGACAATGCCAGTGTGTGACTCTTGGGTAGTGTCAGGATGCAGCTATGCCAGTGAGGGTTCATGCCCAGCTCTGAGAGGGGGGTCAGCAGGCGGCTCCCGTGAGCACTCACCCTGTGGACTGTGTCTCTGGGCGTAGACAACTGCGGCGGCGGCGGCAAGCACAGCACAGCAGGCCCACGGGACAGGAGCAGCCATCTGTTGGGAGAAACCGGGGTGGGGGAGGGGTCAGCATCAGCCCAGGCAGGACTGTCCTGGGGAGCCCCTCCTGTTCTCAGGCAAGACTGGGAAATCCCAGCCCTAGGGCCCTGGAGAGGCCCTCACCCGCTCTGCTTTCACCCAACCCGACTGACACGGAGTAGGAGGTGGGAATCATGCAGGCAGGGAGCTTAGGAAGCCTGGTTTAAGGTGAGAGCATCTTGACCCCAAAATGCCCTTCTTAATGGGGCTCAAGATCTTCTTTCAGGCAACAGAAAGCAACATTATTGGCATCTGTAGGCAAAGGTTTGCTAAGATGGTAGAAGGCAACCTATGGTGGTTTGCTGTTCGATAAGACTAGTGGCTACACAATGTTGTCAACTGCAAATGAGTTACAGAATATTGGTAATGCCAGGGCCATTTTTCTAAAAAAAAAAATAACTTTACTGGTGAGGTTAGCTAATTAGCTATAAACATCATAAACTGAAAGGGTAATGTTTTAACTCAATTGGAGGTCTGTACTTCTCCAGATTGCTTTGAATGGCAGGCCCCCTGCTGTGCTCCTGGGGAGAGAGCCTGAAACCTGGATGCTCGGGAGCCCCTCAGATCCGTCATCTGTCCCCGACACCCCTGTGGTGAGCCTTGCCACTGGGCCCTGAGAAGCTCAGAGCAGTCGAGTCAGGGCAGTGGGACATGACCCAGGTCAGATGTGGCTTTTCCGTAATTGTACACCAATGATCAAGAGAAAATGAAGGATTTTAATATGTAAGTCCTTGTCAGGAACCCCGGCCCACCCTTGACCCCAGCCATGTGCCCCTAGGAGCCTGGGACCCCCAGCCCAGTAGGCGTGCATCAGTGTCCACATGCACCCATGCAAGTACACAGGATGCACTCAGGACATGGCCCCAGAAGCCAGGATGGATCCAGTGCCCCCCAACCTGGTGTCCTGCTTCCTGAGATGAGTCCAACTATTCTCTCCCCCTCCCCCAGCACACACCTACACTTGATGGCAGGGAAATAATTATTTCCTGCAGAATGGGCTGCAAATGTAACAAACCCCCTGACCTTCAGTCTGAAGAGAGAGAACTATCAACCACACAGAAGCAAAGATCCAGAGAAATACTGAGGGATGCTACCAGACACTCAACCAGGGCCACTCTCCGAGATTCCAGCCAGCCACACAGCAAAGATGCTGGCCGGGGACACTGCCCCAAACCACCAGACAGAACCCCAAAGAAACAGCTCCACACACAGTGGAAGATACACCAGAGACTGTTAGAAGGACCATCAGACAAAGCCAAAGAGACAGGTAGATGAAACCAGATAACCAGCCAGAGAGGTGGTCAGAGAACAGCGACACAATCAAAGGACCCACCAGAAACACTGTAAAGGACTCAGCTAGACCCAGGCAGATACACTGCCGAAGGACGAGCAAGGAGCACAGGCAGTGAAGCCGTCGGCGACAAAGCCAGAGAGCTAAGACACTGTCAGAAACAGTGCCAGAGAAACCGTCTGACACACAAGCAGAGAAATACCAGAGAAACTGATAGACGCAAACAGGCGTACACCCAGAAAAACAGCTTGAGAGAAGAGCCAGAGCCACAGCCAGATGCTCAGTCAGGAAGTATCCACACCACTCCAAACACTGCCAGAGACACTGTCAGACACACAGTCAGACACACTGCCAGAGACACCGTTATAAAGACTGCCAGAGAAACAGCCAGACACACAGCCAGAAAAACTGACAGAGACGCAGTGCCAGATATACCCCGAGAAAGTGCCAGAGACTCAGCTCCAGACAGTGCAGACATAGCATAACAGAGACAAATGTGGGTATCAGCCTGAAGCAGCTGCGGAGAGGCTGGAGAGCAATGAACTTCCTGGGGCTTCCTGTGGGAGAGGGCTCCTGCCTGCCTTTTGCTACCCTTGACCCTCTCCAGGAAAGTCCCCTCCTCTGAGCCTGCTTTTCCTTTCCTCCCTGTCACAGCCACAGGTGCCCTGACTGCCCCTCCCTGGCACAGTAAATCTCTCTGTGTCCTAAGTGGCCCCAGCTACCCTTTGCGCATCAGTGACTCCTGGAGCCTTAGCTACCACTTGGCCTGGCTCCTTCTGACCCTCAGCCCCTCACCACTCTTCAGCTACTCCTCAGGCCTAGGAGGTTAAGACAATGGCCAAAGTTACACAGCCAGCAAGCCGTGCAGCCAGGAAATGAACCCAGGACTGCCTGAATTCAGAGCTGGTGTAAGAGAGAGAAAACGAGACCAGCAGCCAGAGGCCTACCTGGTTCCCCAACCTCAGCCCTGGCCAGTCGCCCTCACACCCTCCCCCACTGCCTCTGCCATCTGTCCATGTCTTTCTCCTCACAGCCAGGAAGATCCTCCGCCTCAGTGCCAGGCCACTGCCCACCACATGGGAGCAGGAACCAGGGCATGGGCAGGCAGAAGAGCAGGCGGAGTGGCTGAGGTTAGATCCAAGGATGGGAGTGTTCAGGGAGAGGAGGAATGGGTGGCCTCTACTCCCAGCTCCTTCCTGGTCCACACAAGCACACACTCCCACGTGCATGCGTGCACGCGTGCGCATACACACACACACACACACACACACACACTCAGGCCCCCGCGGGGGGAGGGGTGGCTTCTTCATCAAAGTCGCCTCCATCAGCCTGATGAGTTACTGTAAGGGCCGGGCCCTGGGCCAACGGGGCTGCAGCCACGGGAGACGGGTGCTGCTGAGAGTGAGTGCTGCAGAGTGGGGATGGGGTGCCAAGACAGACACTGCAGGGTTGGGGGCACCCAGAAAAGGGAGAGACTCAGGGAGGAGAGACAAGAGGGAGGGAGAGAGGAGGAGCTCTGAGTGGAGACCCAGAGGGACAAGGAGAGGCTGAGATAGGAAGAAATAGAAGAGACGCAGGGGAAAAGATGGGGCATATAGGAGATGGGCAGAGACTCAAGGGCAGAGGGAGAGACAGATCCAGAGAGAAGAGAGGAGACCCCTGGCAGGGTCTCTGCCCACCCTAGAGCATCTCCGTGGCCTGCCCAGCTCCTCTAGCACAATGGAGGATGGGATGGTGGTCAATGCAATGTGAGGCAAGAACAGGGCCTTCCTGGAGGCTGGAAGGATTCTTGCTGGGGATCTAGGACCCCAACCCCTAGGGTACAAGGGTAAAACCCCATCTCTGCCCCTGCCCCTGCCCCTGCCCTGCCCCTGCAGATCCAGAAAGCCCCAGGCCAGTTTCACTTCCCCCTTTCCTCAGACTCCCAACTGGGCCCAATGCCCAGTTTGGGAGGCTGAAGCCAGAGGCATCCAGGACACACCTCCATCCTGCCCTGGCTCACTCCAGGCCACCCATCCCAGGGCAAAGAGCATCTTTCCTGGGAATTTTCCAAGTCCACACCCCATGGCTCTGAGATAGATGTGCAGGATAAATCCCATAGAGCCCCAGATAAGGGCTCTGCAAATTAGCCCAGGATTCCTCTCAGCCCCTCAAAGAGGTCAGCCCCAGAATGAGGAGGGAACAGAGGGGGTACCCCATAAGCAAGGAAGGAGCCTAGCGCCCAAAAGCCCCTGAGCCCCTTGTCAGCACAAGGGTCCCTGCACCTCTCCCAGCACAGAACCCTAGTGTCATCATTACTCCCACACAGGTAACACATTAAGAGTCAAATTCTGGGGCCCCAACTTACTGCCATTGTCCCACTGTGGCATAAAGATACCATTACACAATGATAACAACACCCATTGAAAATGACACAGTTGTACCGTTGACAATGACACACAGGGATGTTGACAGTCACCACGATGACAATAATGCAGTGAGTGACAGTCACATACATTGACACCAACAAACGGGGCAATGATACCAGTTGACACTGACACAGTCACAGTGATGGTAACCTCAGAATCAAAGATGCAATGAGACTCAGTCACATCGAGTCACACTGACGGTGACATCAACACAGTGACACAGCAATGTTGATAGACTCAGTAACAGTCTCACAGAATGATACTAGTCCACAGCAATACTGGCAGCCCTGAAGTCTGACAGCCGCCGTCGGTAACAAACAGACACAGCGACAGGCTCCAGGTCAGGAACCCCTGTTACCCAGTTTAAGAATCTGGCTTAGGACCCAAGACCCAAGAACCGTCTTGCCAGTCCCAGCAATGTTCCGGGTTGCCCTGTACCCCTCCCCTCACCCCATGCCCAGCTGAGGGCAGAACCTGGGGGAAGGAGGTGTGAGTTTTGGAAAGCCTCTATTTATCCCTGCAGAATTACAGCAGTTTAGATTGTAGAAGGCCAACCCTGGGGAAGCCCTGCCGCCATCAGGTCAGGGTGGGGGATAATGAGCACCACTAACTGCGTCTCAGCTGTAATTGTGTGTGCGGGTTGATCTGTAATAGTGTGTTGCGCACTTCAGGGTTTGGGTTGCTGTGGGCACGCCGAGGCTCAGGTAGGCTCAGTCTGGCCTGGACAATGAAGGATCAGGGGGGCCTCAAGGCAAGTGACCTCGAAGCAAGGTTACTACTCCAACTCCGAGGCAGGGAACTGAAATCCAAAGAAGGTCACCGGATGGACTCCCCCCATTGCCAGGCGTCAGGGTGGGTTCAGAACATCCATCTGATGAAGGGCATCCGGCCCAGCACAGAGCGGAGGGGACTCCCCACAGCTTCCAGTCCCCGCTCTGACTCCCACAGCCCAGACTCCAGAATCCCACAGTGAGGGGAAAAGGCACCTTTTATCCTGGAGCCTCATCTCCTTCACCTCTCCCCACAGCAGCCTAGAGGGCCCATCTCAGGAATGAGGCAAGAATGCAGGACACAGCATGGACTCACTGATTCAAACGCCTGGGGACTCTAGAAGCCTCAGACCTGCAGAGGAATTAGGTTGGAGCAGAGAAACAGAGATACATAGACTTGGAGATGGAGAAGGAAATGAGAGACAGAGCGGGGGCAAAGACAGGGACAAGGACATGGTGGGCAGGGAGGAACAGTACTGGCTGAGGGGGGAGCCTGGAAGAGATAGTCAGGGCAGGCGGGAAGCTCCAGGACAGGGAGGAGGGGCTGAGGCTGGGAGGCCCCCAGATCCCACCAGGCCTAGGCAGCCTGGACAGCGTGGGCGGTGGGGGCGGGGGCAGAGGCCTGAGCGGTCCAGAGGCTTGGGGGGTGGGGGGACCAGGCCGAGGAGGGAGGCCTGGCCCCTGGCAGCTGGCCCGGCAGGCCCCTCACCAGGGAAGGGCGGGCCTAGGTCAGGGGCCAGCTCGTGGGCTGGGGCCGGCTAGCCATGGGCGGGCAGGTTCCCACTCCCTATGGTGTTTCTCCCTCCTGTCTCCGAATCTCTGATCTCTAGCCCCTTCTCTTTTCCCTCCTCTCTGAATCCAGACCTGCCTCTCCTCTCAGCTCTCTCAGTGACCCCACCTCAAGTGGCATAGGGCTCCAAGCTGTGCCTGGGTTCAGGATTCAAGCTTTACCTCCTCCTGGGCTACCATGTCCCCACCCACGCCAAGGGCAAGCCTCAGTCCTCAGGGGAAATGACCCTACCCAAGCTTAGGCCCTGTCCTCCTCCTTAGAAGGGGGCAGAATAAGCCAAGCACCAGTAGGAAGGGGCCAGGAGGGAGGCAGGGGGAGTGGTCCCCCAGCTCTCGACGCTGGCTGAGGCTGTGGAAAAGGAGGCGGCCCAATTGAGTGAGTTGGGGGGGTTGGTATCCGCACCTGCTGTTGTGACCTCCACAGCCGGAGATGGGGTCCTGGAGGGGACAAGATTCCGATGGATTTTGGCAGCGGCCTGGACTCAGTGCTCAAAACCCCCATTCCCAGCCTCTTGCACCGTGGGGACCCTGAGATCAGCATGTGCGTGCCCTGCTGCACGTGTGTGCGGGCGTGTTGTTGGGGGAGCCTGGGGCCCTCCCATGATGGGCCTGGCTGGGCAGCTGGGGAGGCATCCTGGGGAGAGAGGAATCTGTCACCAGCCTGTGCCCACATGTGGAGGCCCACTTGGGGCCCCGCATGCTGCCTGGTGACCTGGGCATGGGCTTGTATATGCACATACATGCAGGCCTGTGCTTAAGTAGCCCTCTAGATGCAGAAGGCCTGGGCTTTCACCCTCAAAAGTCATCTGGTCCAGCCCCCTGCCTCTTGAATGGAGAGGAGGAAGGGGCAGATAAGTTCGTATCCTCCCTTTGGACACATAGGCTCTGGAGAGCTTCACAGAACCTGAGGTACTGGTGCCAAATCCCCCAGCCCCCAACCCCAGTCCAGTCTCTTCTGGCTTCCAGAAGAATCAGGAAGCCCCCTCCACCCAGGAAAGGCACACACACCAGTTAGGCTAAGTCTGTGGGGAGCGGGGTACTGCTCCTCTTGTAGGGACAGAACGCTGTAGCACATTAGACAGCTGGAAGAACTCAACGAAAGGCAGGGGATGGGCAGAGCAATAGGGTTGACTGAGACTTCCCTTAGCAGGGGGGTGGGGTAAGGAAAGGCCCGAAGCGGACGCCGGGGACAGGAAGGAGGCTGCAAGGCAGGGCCCTCCGTGGAGACAAGGATGGATAGAATGGCTTTCCAGAGTTGGAGATTAGGACAAAGACCTATTTGCCTCAGCATCTCCTACCACACCCACCCCTGGCCCCATCACTGCTATGGTGCAGACACACCCTTGAATCCATACACAGAGGCCCATGCAAGCAAGCTCACACACACACCCACCCACCCACCCACCCACACACACACACACCCCGGGGGGTGGGGGCAGCAGTGCATGTGATGCATCGGCTTATAACAAAAAAAACCTGAAGATGGTCGTTCTGACAGAGCCAGAGTTGGGTGGGGGGAAAAGAAGCTTCAAATGTCTTCTGTGTTCTGTTCTCTCTGCCCCCTAACGTGCATATGCACCATGCACGCTACTTCTGAGGAGCCTCCTGGTCTGCTGGGCAAGACCGAGCCATCCTTCCTCCCCTTTCCTCCCCTCCTCACAGTGGGGAAGCCACAGCAATCTGTTCCTGATGGGTAAACACAGGCGTGAGTACGTGCACACACGTGCTCACACACACACCAGCCACTCAGGCCACAGAGCACCCAGCGCTCACTTCACCCCGAGACAGAGCACACACTTGGGCTCTCACTACACCCGGCAGAGCTCTCAAAGCCCCCGCCTCCTCAGACACACAGGGCCAGAGCTTCACAGACACACCCAGGCAGCCTCTCGCAGACACTGGCATTCAGAGCCTACCATCGTGGCCACACATCAGGGCCTCCCACATGGACACCCACTCCCACAGCCCCGTACACGCTGGTGTGCGTGCACACATTACAGTCACACTCACACACACAGACTCCCTCACACAGCCATGGTCTCACATATGGATACCATCACACACTCCGAACAGTCAACCTTCCACACAGACACCATTGTACACTTCCAGAAGCTCAGGGCCCCCAGTCGCCCTTGGCCTCTCACGCCCCGACACCGGCAATGGGAAACACCCACATACACACCCTGAACAGCCACACTGTGCCAGCACCTCAGGTTGCCTAGCCGTGCCTGAGGGGAGGGACAGAAAGCCTAGGGATGCCTAGGGCAGGAAAGAAAAGGAAAGGAAATACTTCGTTGGTCCCTAAAAAGTGAGAAAATAAATGATTATTCCCCAGGCAGCTCCTTCTTCCCCAAACCCTGCTTTCAACAGCATTAGGGAATGAAGGGAGATCCATTCCAGACAGGAGAGGTGAAGGAAGTACCTGGGGGAGACAGATGGTGGCACTGGAATCAGCAAGAGCCAGAAAGGCCCAGAAATCAGCCGACTTCCCAGGCCCTTGCTGCCTTCCCTCATCACCCTCTCTTCCCCACGATGCGGATCGGCAGCAGCTCTCAGCCTAGCTATCTGCTGTGTGATCCCAAGGCCTCTTCAAAACCTCTATGTGCCCATAACTGTCTAGCGGGCACCCAGATGTCTGGCCTGGCTGCAGAAAGGGCAGGAGAAGGGAAGGAGATGAGACCTCCACTCCAGCCCCCCAGCCCCCACCAAAGCCCTGGCATCACTGTCAGCCCACAGAGAGGTAGGGCAGATGCCCAGCAGCAGGAGGGGAGCAGGCAGAGCCAGCGGTGCTCCTCTAACTAACCACTGAGGAGGAGAGTCCTAAGGTGTCCTTGGACCCTGCAGCCCCGCCCCCATCACTGGAGGAGTAGACGCGGAGTCGCTGTCCAGTCAGAATGGAATCCAGGCTGTGCTGGCCAGGCCCCAGCCCAGGAAAGATCGGCAATGCTGCAGACATCCTTGCCACTTGCCACTCCAGGTGTAGCTGGGGCCCTGATGCCTCCATCCTAAAAGGAGCCTGACGTGACTCCACGGAAGACAGGCAGGACCTAAGGAAACCAGGCAGGGGTAATGCCATAAAGCCAGGTGATAGGGACTTCGGGGAAGGGGGCAGTGGGGACAAAAGAAACCAGGCAGCAGGGTGTAAGGAAACCAGGTGACAGGGCCCCAAAGAAGGTAGGTGGTGGGAGCCAAATGAAATCAGGCAGTGGGGACTAAAGTTAGCTAGGAGGTGTGGACAAATGAAGCCAGGCTTTGGGGATCAAATGAAACCAGGCAAGAGGCCCACAGGATGTGAGAAAAGAAAGATATCAGGAGCTCATCCCCTCTGTCTAGATGTCACCCCCACACGCTGGGCCTCTCTCTCTGTAGCCCCCCTTCCACTCAGGCGGTGGTCCCCTCCCCCAGGCCAATGGACACAGCCAGAGCCCCCTCCCCTCTCAGAGGCCTGGTCCGATTGCAGCCAATGGGCCCCGGCCCCATCCCTGGGACCTCAGGAAGTCCCAGTCCCTCCCACCGGCTGCAGAGGCAGGGGGGCTGGGGGGAGAGACAGAGAAGAGAAAAGAAGAGAGACAGCTTGGCAGGGGGAGCGCGCCGAGCAGCCGCGGGGGGCGGAGGCCGAGAAAGGAGCGGGAAGCGCCGAGGCGGGCTGGGCGGGCTGGCGGGCGGGCGAGCGCGGGGCGGGGGCGTCGCGGCGGCGGGGGTGACAAGTCCTCCGGCCCTGTGGCCACTGACCTGGGTCCCCACGCAGGCGCCCCGTCGGTGCCTCCGGCGCTCCGTGGGTCCGCCTGCCCGCCTGCGGGCATCGGGTCTGCGGGGCTGGGGCCCGGGCAGCCGGAACGACCCGGGAGGCAGAAGCAACCCCCACAGCGGTCCCGGCGGGCGGGTGGGCGAGGGGCCGGGCCGCGCGGTGAGCGACGAGGGCCGAGCCCCGAGTGAGCGACCGGGCAAGCGGGCCGGGAGGAGGGGAGGAAGGAGCGCGCTGCAAGCGAACGAGCAAGCGAGCAAGCGAGCTAGCGGAGGGAGAGTGAGGGACGGCATGCAGTGAGGTCATCCTTTGAATCTAATTGTCTGAGTCAGGAGGAGATGTGGCACTTGATGCTGGGGGAGGGGAGGCAGAAGGGACCCTCCCCGCTCCGGTCCCGGCCCCTCTCCACACCCAGGGGTGGCCGGGGCCTCCTTTCCCCTCCCAAGGAGAAGTTGCCGCAGGCCAACTCGGGCAGACCACTGCTGGTCTCAGGGCTGACCTCTGCTGCCTGGGGCTATCAGCAAGTGGTGAGAGATGTGGGACCCGGCCCCAGCTCCCGGCTACCTTCCTCCTCCCGGGGTGACCGCCACACCTCAAGGCCCAGCTCACTTTCCCACATTTTTTAGGGCACGGGAGGCTCCCAGCCTACCCCCAGGTCCTATTCCAGGTCCTATTCTGCCCTGTGAGGATAAAGCAGGAACTTCAGCCAGCCTTCCAAGTTGCCTTACTTTAGGAGCACGGGGCCCCAACTCTATTCCCCAAGTTACTTCCAGTGCTGGGAATTTGGGGGAATCTGGAAACTGAACCCCAGGCTCACCATCCTGCCCTCTGGGAATGACAGTGCAATGCCACCCGTCCTCCAGTTACTTTCTGCATTTGGGATGAGGACCCCAGATCCGCCTTTAGGAGGGACAGGAGCAGGGCCAGACTCCTAGGGTCTCCAGGGAGGGACCAGGCTGCCCAGAGGGTGACGGACAGGTTGGTCACTGGACCCTGGGCTTGTCAGGTGTGCACACCCGTACACATATACATGAGCACACGCACACGCACACGTGCAAATGCACATCCGCATGGGGTCGGGGGCACCAGACAGCTGGGGATACTCACACCAAGGGCCATACCCTCCTCCCTTCGCCCCTGTGGGGGAGGGGTGATAAATATTTAAGGGGCTTTTAGCTCAAAAGGGGCTGGAACGGGGGAGGGAGGGGGATCCACGCTGCCTGATTAATGGGGTTACGGGCTTGGATCAATCCGTCCGCCCGCCGCTCCCTCCTCCCCCTCCTCCCTCCCTCCGCCTAATGCGCTTTATCAGGAGACGCTTTTCTGACTTGGCAGCGTTGGGCGTTTTAAATAGACCCATTTAGAGCTGGGGTTGGGGGAGAAGGAGGGGGGTGGAGAGACAGAGATTGAGACAGGCTGGGAGACAGAGACAAATCAGGAAAGAGAGATGGGCCCTAGAAGAGAGAGACTGGGAGAGGAGAGACAGAAGGAAATGCAGAGATACCATTGAGATAAGACACTGAGGGCGAGGCTCCCACGGAGGCTGAGATGGACAGAGAGAGGGTGATGGAGAGAGAGAGGGTGATGGGAGGCCAAAGGAAGCTGGGGGGCTGAGGAGCAGAAACAAACAAACAAAAAGAGACAGGGAGGAAAGGAACCATGGGCAGCAGGGAGAAGCCCAGAGAGAGGCTCTCTGCAAGGGCTGAGTGCTAGCCTGGGAGACAGCAGATATTCTTTATTTCCAAAAACCGTTTTTCATCCACTTTGTTAAATTAAAAAGCTGTTTTTAAAGTGGTGCTGGAGGTGCTGCTGGGGGAGGGTGAACAGAACTGCCAAGTCCTCCCTCTCTGGCCTCCTCCTCCTTGGCCCCCACAGAAGCTGCCTCAGCCTGAGCCCCTGGGGTGTTCTCCAGCTCCCCTGCTCGCTGAGGCAATCCTCTGAGATCCCCAGGAAGAGGGTCAGGGCATCTGAGCTACTGTTCACTGGCAGGAAGTCCTTCCTGCTGTCTGGCCTCAGTTCTTCTTGCTGCAGGGAGCCCATTCTTTCCCCGACCACTATCCTTCTCTTCTCCAGCTCCTGTCCCGGCTCCCTAAGGTGTTCCCAGTTTGCGGAGGATTACGTGCCCTCTCAGCCCAGTAGCACACTTTCCAAATAAGCCATCAGACTCCTCCCAAGGTACCCCCCATAAATATTATCTTTTATTCTGTAAATCCATCTCCTAGCCCCATCCTAGTCTGAACTTCTATCAGATACACACCCCATGTCCTTGGGTCCTCTGGGAACAGTGGGGTGAAAAGCTTAACTCTCTACAGCCTTCTCAGGCCTCCCTTCCTCCTCTCCTGGGCCCCAGCTCCATCTTAAGCCCCTTTTATGTGTCAGCCTGGGGTACCCCACTCCACCCTCAACAACAACCTGGTCCTAGTTGTGAAGGGTTAGTCCCCCCTCAGCCCCCAGCCGGGAAAATGGCCAGTCTGTTTGGGAGCTGAGATGAAAAGCCCGGCCGGCCTTTGTGGGCCTCTGGCGGGTTTTGGACAATAGGCCCTTCCGTTCCGCTCCAGTGCCTCGATGCCTTGGATGCCCCCACCCCCAAGCTGCCAATCCAGGGGCCTTGCCTGGCCTGAATGAGAGACAGGGAGAGTCAGGCTCGGCCCCACAGCTGGCCTCAGAAGATTCTGGACTTTCTGACCTGCCATCCCATCTTTTTAAAGCCTAGCTGCTCCTCCAATCAAATAAGAGAGATGTCTGGGGGGCAGAGAGGAAATCTGAGGATACTGAAACAGAAACATACTCCCATATCTGGGACTCAGCACCCCCTTAGTATAGAACCCAGTTTCCTAACCTGGTGTTGCCCTTGCCTGTGTGACCACAGGTAAGTCTCTTCCCTTTCTATTTGAGAGCATGAAAAGCCTCAGCCAGGCTGAGCCCAAAACCTCTGGAAAAAGAAAGGACAGGGGAAGAGAGGAAGGAATCTCAGGTCCTCCTCCACTCATGTCCCCTAGACGTACAGCCCCACTACACCTGCCTGATTCCCTGAGATTGATCTGCCCCACGTGGGCCCCAGCACCTACCTCTTCACCACTGGCCACACACCAAGCACATCAATGTCCTCCTCCTCCTCCAGACCAACTCTTCAGGACTTCCAAAACCAAGGGGGCAAGATGAGGTGACAAGGCTAGAGTCTAGAAGGGCAAAGGGCACAAATCAGAGGTCACAGAGGAGCCACAGGCCTTAGTCCAACTCAGAGGCCATTCCATACTCACAGCCCCACTGTGAGAAGGGGAGACTGAGGCAGGCAGCAGCTAAACGTCTGGAAGAAGAAAAGTTGAGAGTAATACAGACCCCTCCCAGCACCCCTTGCTGACTTCAGGTTCTGAACCACAGGGACAAAGGTTGCCAGAAGGCAGTGGCCTGATACAATACACAGATACACACCCACAGACAATCCACAATTCTTATACAATCAGTTTGCAGACACACAGGCACCTCCATATCACATGCATCCTCACATGCACAATCCTAGAGGCACAGGGTCACAGGCACGGTGTAAATAACCACCATCGTAACACCCCCTTCCTTATCACCACTATGATTTATTGAGCATCTATTATATGCCAGGAACTGTGTTTGGCACTTTATATGCATTATCTTACTTAATCTTCATGATTTCTCCATGAGGTAGGTTTTATTGTTCTTCACATTTGATAACCAAGGAGATTGAGCTTCAAGGAGGCCTTGCCCAATACCACAGAGCTGATCAGTTCCAGAGTCTAGATTTGAGTCCGTATCTAGTTCCAAAACCTTGCTGCTATACCAATTTGCCTGTGCAGGTCTCTCACCCACCTGCACAATGTCTTTCCCAAGAATAATAACAGCAGGTATCACTTGTTCAGGGTCCTTGGTTACCCAGACACTGTGATAAGTACTTAATTTACATTTTGGTACTGAATCATCAAAACAAGCTTCAAGGCCAGGCATGGTGGCTCACACCTGTAATCCCAGCACTTTGGGAGGCTGAAGCAGGTGGATCACCTGAGCTTAGGAGTTCCAGACTAGCCTGGGCAACATAGTGAAACCCCATCTCTACCAAAAATACAAAAAATTAGCCAGGCGTGGTGGCATGTGCCTGTGGTTCCAGCTACTCCTGAGGCTGAGGTGGGAGGGTCACTTGAGCGTGGGAGGCGAAGGTTGCACTGAGCCAAGATTGAGCCACTGCACTCTCCAGCCTGGGTGACCAAGTGAAACCCTATGGCAAAAAAAAAAAAAAAAAAAAACACAAGCTTTGGAGGTAATCCTGTTTCTGTTTTACAGATCCTGAAACTGAGGCTCAGAGAGCAGAAGCAGCTTGGCCAAAGTCATACAACTGGTAGTTGGTAAAGGAGCTGGCCTTGAACTCAGGGATATCTTGAAAGCCACTGTTGCTTCTATGGACTCTAGCCATTCAAAAGACCCCTCACCTTCTATAAGACCCCAGGAGATCCTCAGGGTCCAACTGCTCCCTTGAAAACAGGTCCCAGATATATCTGCCAAAGGTATGATTAGGTGCCTAAACACATACCATGAGAAAGGGATTCCATGTCTTCCAATCCTGCCCAGAGATGCAGAGACACCACCACCCAGGGAGAGATAGCCAGAAACTAAAATAAGATGTTAGAGACAGGTGGTTGATAGTGACAGATACAGCCACACCAAGACAGGCTCAAAGGGAGGAAGACTGAGGGGAAGCCAGAGACAGAGAGGGACACATTAGGCCAAAGAATGAGAGAGATAGCTGGAAAAGGAGACAATAGGAGTAGAGGAGGGTACAGGCTGACATGAAAAAACACCGACAGATACACTCCAGTATGCAGACAGACACATATAGACCCATCTGACCTTCACAAGAAACAGACTGTGAAAGCAAGCAAGGCTCAGGCTGTGTGTGGTGTGCGTATGTGTGTGTGCGTATTGTGGGGGGAGCATGCAGAGTCTGTATAGCTACGCACATTACACCAGCTGCTTCCAGCAATTTCATCTGATTAATAATAAATGCCCCATAATTACAGCCGCTCCCCCAGCCCTTCTTCCTGTTTTTTGTCAGCTGCTGCCAGACCAGCCCCCCATAAACCCTATGGTCCCCTCCATCCTCACCTGCTGTCCTCTAGGAGGCTGAGAGAATGTGAGCTGGTGGAGGAGGCCATACTCCCAATTTGAGGAGGGATACCCATCTCCCTATCTTGGATTAATGCCCTTTGCTTCCAAGCAAAAAGTCGTCTTACTTAGGTCTCACTCAGAACTTTTCCACTGCATGGGTATAACCTGTGACCCCTAATATGGCCTAGGGGCCCACATCTGGGATGCAGAGAGATGAAATCCCCTTGCCCACTCTTTATCGCTAGCTGGCTAAGTCTCCATCCACAAACTTTACCTAGCCTCAGAACCCTGTAGGCTCACAGGAGGAAGGCACCAGGACAGGGGTCCTCACCCCATCATTCCAATCCCAGACAGCCCGAATCTCTGCCCACTTGTATACCCTCAAGCTCTGGACACCAGGTGGCTCCGCCTGCCAATTCCTGAGCACCCCCCAACCCCACCCCCACAAGTCCACCTCCTTCCAGGCCTCCCACCCAAGCTCGCCAAGGCAGCTCTATCAGAATCAGCTGCGGGGTTGTGCTGATCTGTTTCTAATCGTTGGGGCCTGGTTCACGCTTGCCCCCAGCCCCCAATATTGATTCCATTATTTGGAAAGTCATTGACGTCAGGGGCCTGGATGGGTGCCAAAACCGCCTTCTCTCCGGGCCTGGGCCAGGGCCCAGCCCCCCATCCCGCAATTTCACGGAGGGGCCCACAAGGGTCAGCTCATGGGCCGAGGTCACATGGCATCTTCCCTCTGACTCTGGGCTCCTCTGCCTTTTTGGAACCACTGTGCAGCTCCCTTCTGGAGAGAGGGGCTACGCAAAGACCTGGGATTTAGAAGTTGGGGGAGGCTATAAAAGGGAGTCTTAAGCCCCTCATTGGGACTCTGGCTGAGAGCAGGGGCTCTGAAGAGGTAAGGAGGAGGGCAGTGGCTCAGAAAAGGGTAGTTGGGAACACTTTGTGTTTTTTGCCACACTCTTATTTTGGAACATCCTGAAGCTGGTCTTGAAATGGATCCTACTGACTACTTGGTTTTTATGTCTGACATCAGTTGTATCTCCAGACTCTCTTAGAAGGAAATTCTCTGCAGTTATTTAGGATAACAGATTACCCTAAATGTTGCCATAATTTGACTAACTGGCACCAGTAATTTTATAAATCTTTGCTCCATATAAAACAAAGGCTCTCTTTCTTGTGCATCTCTCACCTATGCTGCCTCAGTTTCCCCATATTCACACACTCTCCCAGTCTTTCCTGGCGTTGGATGTGTGTTTCTTCCTCTCTGTCTCTATCTGACCAAGATGCAGCCACTGCCACACTGGCCCACGCCAGCAACTCCTGGGCTCTGGCTGGACAGAGTATTTTTAGGATCCGAACCCCGTGTTCTCAGACAGGCATTAATAACCAATACAGACAGTCTGTGGTGCCCACAACAGCTACACAGCCTCAGAGCCCAGCCTTGGAAGGTCAGAGATGGGGTCCATTCCTTCAGCTAGAGGGTCAGAGATGGGGTCCATTCCCCCGAGGGAATTTCTTCTTGTCCAAGAAACTCACACCTAGAGGGTAAGGGACGTGTTCACCACCACATAGGGAAAAAAGGACCTTACTTTCTACAAAATCCTGAGGCTGGGAAGGGGCAGGATGACCTCTGACCTCTGCCACAGAATCGGTGTGATTGCTCTGCCCCAGCCTCCTCTGGTCCAGACCTTTCCAAGGAAGGAGCCTATCCTCTGCACTCCTTCCCTGAGTGAAGGAAAGTCCTTCCTCTACTCTAGCCTGCAAACCAGTCTTCCTTTGAGCCAAACAGGGGTGTAGGACAGGGGATGCTGGGTCTCAAACCACAAATCCCAGCAGCTTCCCTCTCCTCATGATCTGTCCCACTCAGTGATTCATGCCTCAACATTTATTGAGCACCTATTCCCTGCCAGGCACTGTACAGGGAGCCAGGCACATGGTCGTGCCCACAGGGAGCATTCGGTCCAATGAGACAGAAAAAGATGTATTACTGTTCACACAAGAATGCCTTCCTCTGGTGTACGAGGTCTGTGCCAAGGGCAGGCAGGTACAGGGTGAGCAAGGGAGACCCAGTCCTTGAGTCACGTAGAGCTCAGAGGCAACTACTGTGCAACCTTCCTGGGTGTCACGTGGGGAAAGTACAGGTAGGATATATGGTGGGGCACACTGACTACCCTGGGGTCTGGAGAAACCTGTCCTCCTACAGGCTAAGGACTCTTCAGTTTGCTCCTAAGCCCAAGACGGGCCCTCGAGCTGAACACAAGTCACTACCATAGTTTAATTTCAGTTCCTGCTACTGTAGCTCTAGTCTTAGCTTTTGGGAGCTGGCTGCCCACAGCCACAGGGTCTAACTCTTCCTCAACGCCTGCTCCAGCTCCTCCTTCCACCCCTTGGCCCCCAGAGTGCCTAGCTCTGGTGACCCCCAACCGGGCACAGCTCTGTGCTTTGGGACTCTCTTTGCCCTCTGCAGAGGTAAAAGGGACTGATGACCTCAGTGCTCTCCATCCCCAGGGACCACTTGCCTTCCCAGCCCCTCCCCACAGGAAGCTGAGAGCCCTTGTGGGTTTGGTCACCCAGGGCCACAGGAGTTTACAAAGCTGAGGTCTCCCCCACTACCCCCACCCAATGGTGGGTCTGGAGGAGGGGTCAGTTCTCACTTCTCAGGCTCCTTGCTCTCCAGGACGCCCCAAACCAAGCACACATGGTCCCCCCTAACCCATCTGCATTTCAAAGAAAATCCACTCCATATGTTTCCGATTCATTTACACTTCAACTCGCCATGGGGGGGCAGAGAGCAGGGGTGTCTTGCCTCCAAGCCTCCCACCCCGGCTGGAGAGCGTGTGTCCCCTTCAGGACGGGGAGCAGTTACAGCCCAGCCATCTCAGCATTGGGAGGGACCGCAGGGCCATGTCCCTACTGTGTGGGCTCCCATGGGGGAAGACAGCATATCTCAGGCAGCCCCACCCACTGATGTTCATAGCAGCAGAGCACGCAAAGTCCAGGGCAGGGTCTCCACGGGAGTTAGAATCCCAGGGCTGGCTGCATCCTAGGCCCCCCAGGGCTACTGCTCTTTTGGGGAACAGAGTGGGGAAGCCTAGGCATGCCCTGGAGCCAGGATAAGGGCTCAACAGGCAATCCCAGAGACACTGTGAGACACGCACAACAAAACATGGTCCCTACCCCTCCCCAGCCAGGGCAGAGAAGAGAAGAGAGGGTGGGATCCCGTCTCCTCCTCCAGCTACTTTCTCCCCACAGATCTGAGGCTGTTATCTCTCCTACAATCACAGATTCAACACCCTGGAGCAGTCGCAGGAGCCAAGGTCTGCTCCCTCCAATCTTCACACCCCTCCCATCCTAAGAATGATTGAGATGTGTGTGTGTATGGGGCGGGGGAGATGTCTTGGGAGGACAGGAGTCTTATTTCCCCCACCTGGCCCTTCTCTACCACAGAAGGGATGTCCAAAACTATTCAAGGGGGATGGGTATGCATTGACATGGCACACGGAGAAATCTAAAGGTTCACATTACTCCTGTACCAACAATCCACTCAGATCTTCCTGCCAAGAGTCTAGTCTCCTTATGGAAGGAAAGCAGCGAAATCTGACTGGGTTAGCCTTTACCACCACTCCCCTCCATTAGCCCACAGCCCATTGTGAGGGACGTGACCAAATGTGTGTCCTCTCTCCTCCTCACCTTTGGAGGGGACAGATCCTGTAGCAGTCTCTGTTCTTCACTTCAAGTGCCCCGATACTCACCACAAACCAAAGGAAAGCATGGGCATATCTGACCATGAGTCCTAAGTTCCACTGGGATTGTGAATGCCACAATCTTAGTGTGGATCTGAATGTGAGCCCAGGATGACAGTGTGAGTTTAATCTAAGTGTCACGGTCTAATGTCCATCTAAGTGTGAACTCCAAGATGCAAGTACGGGTTTGAGTATGAGCCCAGGTCTCAGCACGCATCTGACTGTAAACCCCAGTGGGTCTGAATGTGAGCTCCAGGACTGAAGTGAGAGAGCCTGTGAGTCCCAGCATTCCTGTACAAGTCAGCATAAGCATTAGAGTTCTAGTGTAAGTCTGAGTGTGAGACCCTGGTCATAAGGGCTTCTGAGTATGAGCTAAGGTGGCTTATATGGAGTCCTAGTGTGAGCACTGGTATCCCTTTTTAAGTCTGAGTGTGAGTCCCAAAGTACCCTTGTAAGTCTAAGTGTGAACATCAGAATCCTACTGTGAGTCTGAGTGTGAGCTCTGAGATCCCAATATGAATCTGAGTGAGTCACAGGACTTCAAGTGAGTCCTACCAAGATCCTGGTATGAGTCTATGTGTGAGCTCCAGGTTACCCATGGAGGTCTAACCCCCAAAGTTCCCATATGAATCTAAGTGTGAACCCAAAGGTCCTAGTGTGAATCTGAGTGAGCTCCAGGGTCCCCGTGTGAGTCAATGTGATCCCCAGCTTGGAAATGTGAATCTGACTATGAACCCCAGTGTCCTCAGCGAGTCCTTGAGTTCAAATGTGAGCCCCATGTTCCCCATGCGAGTCTGACTAACTCGGAGTCCCAGAATATAAGTGTGAATCGGAGTGAGCATGAGGGTCTTTGTGTGAGCCCCAGTGTGAGCCCTAGGACCCCAGTGAGATTCTGGGTGTGAGCTCTAGGTCTCAATGTAGATCTAAGCTAAAGGGTAAGACCGTGAATCTAAGCATGAGCCTACAGTCCCAGTGTGGGTCCCAGTGTGAGCAGAGTTCCAATGTGAGTCTATGTGGAAACTCCAGGACTGAAGTGTATCCCTGGATATGAGCCCCACAACGTAAGTGTCAGTCCATATGAATGTAAGCCCCTAGACCCTAGAAGGAGCTGAAGTGTCCCAGTGTGCATCTGAGTATGGATTCCAGAGCCCCCAGAAGTCCTGTGCATGAACTTTAAACTCCTAGTCTTTGTGTAGGCTCAGGGTCTCAGTTGGAGTATCAGCCCTGACAGTGTGAACCTTAGCTCTATCTCACCAATGCTGACCAGGAGCCCCTGGCACCAGCTGAGAGGATTTGTGTGGGTTGTGACAGTGGAGACAGAGAGGCATAGTTTGAGACACCTAGGCCCTTCTAGCCCCCAAGTCATTGCTAGCCCTACATCCCTGGGAATCTGCAATGGTTCAAGCCCCATTCCCACACGTGTAATGACACACCATCACACCCAGAGTTAGATACACAAAAATACACCTGGTGTTTCAGGCCCCTCGGACACACAGCAATTACAGATGCACAGACACACCCAGCATTTCACACTCGCACCACCTCAGTGACCACAGCCACACAAACACTCCCAGTGACACAGACACAAATTCACCAAGTATTACAGGCAGAACAACTAGTGTTAGAGACACACTCCTACAGCGGCATGCAGACACACACCCAATGTTGCAGACAAGCTGCCAGGCACACAGACACACACAGACGCTTCTCAAAAAGAGAGACTAGACGGAAAGAAAGAAAATCCTGAATTTTCAACAAGGCGTGAAATAGTCCTGCCCGCCTGAAGCTACTGGAGGGGGGAGGGGGACAAGGGAGCGAGCAAGCGAGCGAGCTAACGCTGGAGGAGAGGCTCGGGAGAGGAGAGGAGCCGAGAGGGAGAGCTGTCCGTCTGGTGACCTCCCCACGGCCCAGCCCCCACGCACGCGGAGATACACTACTCGGAGCAACACAGGGACACCCAGACTGGCTCACACTGAGCCGCACTGGAGGAGACACACACGAGCAGACTCACAAAGAGACACTTGGGGATACACCATAGGCAGACTCGCACAAGCCAGGAAGACTTACAAAGAGACACACTGGAGGAGACCCACTACATGGAGATACATCCAGGCGGACTGAAGAGAAAACCATGGGGACGCCGACCGACACACACATGCACACACACACGCGCGCGCGGGCGCGCGGATTCACACGGACACACATGCACTGGCAGACGCGCAACCGTCGGTTCGCATCCCCGGGCGCTTTGAAGTCCAGATTTCTGCCCGAGAAAGAAGCCACCTTTGGGCGCGCAAAGGCCACTACGAACCTCCCCAAACCCAGGAATTTTTCCAGACCCCGCGCGTGCAGCTGAGGGGTGGGGAGAACAGGGACACTAGGACAAACCGCCGGAGCCACCTCCCTCTAGTCCACAGTCGGCCCCACCACCACCACCACGCCCAACCCCCGGAGCGCCCGGACGTGGGGGGCCGCTCCTCCAGCGCCCCCGCCCCCGAGTTTGCAGGCAAAGTTTCTCGTGAACTTTCCTGTCGCCCCCGTCCGTGGGCCCACGGGTGTCCCCTCACTCTTCCCGCACGCATGAGGGCCGCCGGTCTGCTGGTCAGCCCGGGCTCTGAGGGTCCGGCCGCGCGCACTCCGCCGCAGGGTACTCACCGCGCCCTCGGGCCACCCGGGCTTCGCGCCGCGCCTTCCGACCGCCCCCGGCAGCGAGCGAGGCAGGGAGCGCGGAGCTAGCACCGCCCGCCGGATCCCACCGCCGAGCCTCGCGCCGCGCCGGCTGGAGCCGCCGCCTCCGCTGCCGCCGCCGCCGCCGCCCGCTCTGCACCGGCTCTTCAGCGCTCGGCGGCTTTAACCCCCCCATCCTCCTCCCTCCCTCGCGCGCTCCCTCCCTCCTTCTCTCGCCCATGTGACCGCGGGCGCCCGCTCGGCCGCGCGCGCCCTCGCTCCCCTCCCCCTCTTGCCTTGTCTCCCCGCGCCTCCGCGGCCGCGCGCCACGACCCCTCCCCGCCACGGGCCCCGCGCGCCCCCGCCTTGGCACGCTCTCGCTCCTGGCACACGCGGTCCGCTCGCCCTGCGCGGGCCTGTGAGCCCCCACTCCCACTCGCCCAGCACTGGCACGCGCTCTGCCCCCCCGCTGGCACACTCGTCCGCACTGGCACGCGTGGCCCCCTCGCGTTCACCCTTTCTCGGGCGCGCCCTCAAGACGGCTGTGGTCCCCGTGCTTCACGCGCAGCCCCGGCCGCGGGTCTCGCAAACGCGCGCGCGCACACACACACACACACACACCCACTCGGCCCGCTCCCCTAGGGCGGCTGGGCGCGCACTCACCCCCGGGATCGCTCCTTCACACTCACTCTCCCTCTCGGCCTTAGCCAGGTCTCTCCTGCGCACACTCCCGCACGTTCAGGCCCTGACGGCCTCGCACCGACTCCCTGGCACACCCCGGGCCAACTCTCGGGGTCCTCCCTCCGGCGTCGCCGTGAGAGGAACGCGAGCCAGAACCCCCAACCCCCACTTTGGGCAGAAGAAGCCAGCCGGCTCCGCCTCTCCCCTATTGCTACTGCCCCCCGCAACGACTCCCCTCCCGGTCACCCCCTCGCGCGGGGGAAAGGGGCTTCCTTGACCGGGGATGGACCCTGCCGGGAGCCCAGGCCCATGCCTCCAGTGTCTCCGATGACACCAACACCACTACTCGCATGTTCCTCGCGCCCCGAGGACACACAGCCGGGGGAGAAGCCTCCACTGGAATGAAGGGGTAGGGAGGGTGCACTCTCAATGCCGGGCACAGGCGCACCCCTCGATAGGAGGCTCACTCCCTTCGCAGCCTGGGCCTCTGAGGGGCCGGGGTGTTCACTGCACTCGTCCCTGGGCCTCCGGTCTGGCTGCAACATAGGAGAGTAAGGTTGGACAACCTGACCAACTTCTGAGGCCACGTGAAAGCGCAATGGAGTGGCAATGGCAGAGGCAGAGACCGAGAAAGCCACCCCCGTCTCCACCCCTTGGATTTGTCACCTGACCCTTGACCCATAATCCTGGGCCCTGCCCCTCCGGGGAGCTGCTCTAGGGCTGAGGGCGAGGAGAAGGGAGGGAAATGTCTCCATGTTTCCTCACATCCTTCCCCAGTAGGCTGCCTAGAGCGCCCGGGCCCTTTCCCAACAAATGCCTCAGGGACTCCCACTGCAGAGGAAAATCCTTCTTCCCGCCACGGCCTGGGCTTTTCACTTTCACTTCCGTGGCCACAGAATCCCCTTCCTACAACTGGCAGGGGTCGGCATGGGCTGGAGCTCAGAGACGGCCAGCTAGGACTTCAGGACACACAGCAAACTAGCTGCGCCCCGCTGAGGGTCAGCGCACAGCCGCCCACACAAGGTGTCCTCTCCCCGGGCTCTCTGGGCCGCCGGCCTCCTGCTTCCCGTGCCGCAGACCGGGATTAGACTGTGGACGCGGGGAAGGAAGGGGGCGTTGCGACGGGATCTTGAGGGGAGCAGGACTTGCCCCTGCCCCTGCGGCGAAGCTCTAGGCCCTGGCAAGGTTCGGTACACCGGGGGCCGCTCCTCCCCAGGGGGCTGACCGGCCTCGGCGCTCTAATCCGGCCGGGGAGGGGCGGACGGGGTGAAAATTGGCGAGTGGTTTGGGGAACGGACTTGACCTCCAGATGCCCTGGTGTCCCTGGCTCAGCCTCTTTCTGCCAGGTTGGGAGCAGTCGGGAATTCTGTCCCGGTCCAACGTCCCCCTCGGCCCCCGGGGACGCAGAGGCTGCTGTCGGCAGAGCAGCAGTCCACGGCTGCGGGGACAAGATCCGCACTGGGAGTCCGGGGTCCTGGAAGTGGACGTGTGGATGTCAGACGATAAAGGAAGGGAAGAGGCGCACGTCGGACCTCTGTCCAGGCGTCAGTCGGTCAGCAGCTCCTCCCGGCGCGGGACCCAGCGGCCTCGAGCGCTTCCCCGGGGCCGAAGCGACACCTGGCGGACGGTGCGGGACGTGCGTTCCCTTCTGGCTGCTGCTCCTGCTCCGCGCTGAGGCCTCGGCCACCTACTGAACACCGGGGGCTGCCACCTCTCCACACAGCCGCCACCCGGCTCACAACCAATTTTCCTCCCCCCAGAGCTGGGTCAACAGACTAGTAGTGGTTTCCGCTCCTGCCGCCTCTGATGCCCTACCTACACAGTAGCCTTTGAGCTTGTAAGCCTCAGTGCTGAGCCCTCCCCACCGCCTTGGGGGCAAAGTTGAGTTTCTTAGGTGGGGCTTCAAAGCCCTGCAGGATCTGGCCCTGCCTCCTCTCCACCTTTATTAAGCGCCCCTATTCCCGGCCTCCCCAGCTCTGCGCCAGCCCCCTTCTGTGTCATGTCACTTATCCTTAAGCCAAACCCCACTTCACTGACATCCTCTCCCCAACTCCATCTCCAAGAATTCACTGCCTTTCCAATCTTCACCATCTACCTTGCCCATGATGGAGTGGCTGGAAGTAACACCCCCAGGCCAGATCCCTTGTGCCCTGCACGTGATGGGGATCTCACATTTGCGCCTGGGGAAATATGGGAAGTTCCTCGTTGACTTTCAGTTCCTGGAGTTCTCTACCATGAAAGGGGCTCTATGGCCAGGATTTCTGACACCACCCTCCACCCTGGCAGGTGACCTAAACTTGGACCCCCCCACACACACACCAAGGGATCAATTGTGCCATTCCAAGCCTTTGGGCAAGCAAAGACCCTTCCTTATTCTTACTGACATGTCTCCGAGGAAGGAGAGCTCCCTCCCCATCCCCTATGGTCTACCTTTCCAGTGCTCCTTTAGGAAACGGTGCTGGTTTCTAACTTGCAATACCATCAGAAAGTTTCTCCCTGCAGCACACACCTGGCTCTCCAAAGTTACAAACACACACACTCTCACACACAGGCTCTCTGTATTACAAATGCCAAACACATGGTCACATAAAGTCACACACCCAATCTCAAACAGTAAAAGGTGTATATTCAACTTCACTATGGTACACTGAGAGTCAGGGTCCCCAGCTTGGGCTAGGAACTAGAGGTCCCAAAAGAGTAGGAGAGTCCCTGAGTCACACACACCATACCCACACATAGACACAGTTACACACACAGCCATGAACTCGGTCACACTGAGTGTCACACAGGCACACACAGAGTCACACACGCTCTCAATCACACTGGGGTTTGGCGGGTTGGGGCGGGCTCCAGGAGGCAGTTACGTAAACGCCCTCAAGCCCCCGCCCTTGCTCCCCCTCACCCCGCCTGCTTCCTCACACAGTGCCAGCGCCCGGGGCGGCTTGGCCGGGGCCCGGGAACAGCTCGGCCTCGCGGAGGCTCCAGGCGCCGAGAAACCCGATCCGACAGAGCCCCGGGCCGGGCCGAGCCAGGGAGGGGGGCCCAAAACCCCCCCACTCAGGGTCCAGCCCAGGCCCCTAGGGACGACTTACCCCTGCATCCAGAGACAGCTCCCAGCACCATCCGGAGATAGTACCTGGGGCCCACTCACAACATCCCCATCCTGCACACCCCCTTCTGGGATCCTATCATCTGGACGGCTGCCTGTGTGCCCTGACCCTTCCAACCTCTGTCACCAGAAAGGGCAAAGATCCCCTAAAGGTAGAGAATGGGGGAAACTAAGTATCCAACCTTGAATTACCCCCAGTTCCTGGAACTATCTCCTCTTCCCTTCTCACCAGGGCCCTCTAAATTCACTCTGATAGAGAGGGGCTTTCATTCCTGTCCAGGTCCCCCTCAGATTTGCTGCCTATCGATTCCAATATATTCTGTCAGAATTCTAAATTATTCAGGTCCAAGGTCTCCCCTCCCGCCCTTTGATATCCTTTCTTCCTCCTCCAGTGGAAGTTCTAACTCCAGTCTAATCCCAGTTCCTCTCGTTTGCTAAAAAGAAATTTTGAGAGTAACCTGAGGAATCGGGAACAAAATCACCAAAAGGCAGAAAGATTAAGGCTCAGGAAACCCCTGGAAGTCAGGAGTCTGAGAAGAGGGGAGACAATGTCTGTTGTGCGCCCCCCAACATAACCCCCACCCCATTCTGCAGCCTAGACTCCATTTTTCACGATAGCTTTTGAGTGTCTGCTTGGGCCGCCTGGGCCCAGGCAGAAAGGGAATTTCCCCCTATGTTCTCTGTTAATGAACAAAACATTTCATGTTGAAATTCCTCCTCTCTGCCCCCAGCCCAGTGTCTCCAGGGCCCTCCAGCCTGACCAAGCAGGGGCACCATTAGGAGGGGGGTAACAGAGAAGAGGGAAGCCCCCAGGGGAAGCATAATTTACACTAGGGGGCATCTTTTTAAAAAATAAATAATTAGGGTGACTTTTTTTTTTCACTTTTGGCTAAAATTATCCACTCCTGTGGCAGCTTCCCAGAAAGGGCGGCGGGAGGGCGGCCGGAGCTGTCCCGAGGCCCAGGACATGGCCCCCCTCCCCCGGGCGAGGAGCCTTCCTCAAGTTGTTTTCCTGGTCTCTTCCTCTTGGATGTTTTTTGATTATTAATCACATTTTCCATCCTCAGTCTCAGACCAGACCCCCTCCCCCCAGGGTCAGGGCTGGACAGAGGGAGGAGGAGCGGGCTCCGGGAAGATGACTTGGGGACAAGATGGGCAGTGACCCCTGGCCCTGGCTGACCTGAAGGACACTGTCAGTGGCATGTCACAGATCATATCCTCACCATCCTAGCACATAGTAGGTGGCATCCTTAATCAATACAAGTGAAGTAAATGAATGAACAGGTGTCTAGCTTTCATAGCACCCAGCTGGCACTGAAAAATAAAGCCCCTAGTGCTGGTCCCCTTATGCTGCAGACAGAGAAACAGCCCAGAGAAAGGGAGTCACTTGCTCAGAGTCACACAGCAAGTTAGTGCCTTGGCCAGAGCAGTACCTCAAGAATGCTGATGGCTCCCCGCTTCCTGAGTCAGTCAATAAATATATATTGAGCACCTACAGTATGCCAGGCATTGATCTAAGTAGTGAACCAGACAAAAATATCTGCCCTTGCAAGGACATAGAGCAACTAGAACTCCATAGAATGCTAGTGCATGTTAAGTTGGTACGACCACTTTGAAACACTGTGTGGCAGTATCCACTAAAGCTGTGCATATATTTATTCTATGGCCTAGCAAGTCCGTTCCTAGATATATACCCAGGAGGAATGATCAAATATGTTTACCAAGAATGTTCGTAGCAGCTTTACTAATGATAGCCCCAAACTGGAAACAACACAAATAGATAAACAGATCGTGATGTAAGTACAGCAATGGAAAACAACCAGCTACATACAACAATGTGAATAAATCTCACAGACAAAATGTTGAGCAAAGGGGAAAAAAGACACAAAAAGAGTACATAATGAATGATTTCATTTATATGAAGCTCAAGAATAGGCAAAACTAACGTATGGTGACAGAAATCAGAATTGTAGTTACTGCTGTTGGGGGAGAGTGGTACAAGTATACAGTTGTCCCTTGATATCTGTGGGGGATTGGTTCCAGGACCCCCTGAGGATACCAACTCTGAGGATGCTTAAGTCCCTTATATAATAAATGGCATAATATTTGTGTATGATCTAAGCACATCCCCACATCTACTTTAAATCAGCTCTAGATTGCTTGTAATATCTAATACAATGTAAGTGTTATGTAAATAGTTGTTATACTGTTTTGGTTTTTATTTGTATTGTTTTTTATTGTTGTATTTCTATTTTTATTGCTTTTTTTTTCCTAATGTGGTTGGTTGAATCAGAGGATGCAGAACTCACAGATATAGAGGGCCAACTGTACACATGCATTAAAATTGTACACTGTAGGCCAGGCGCAGTGGCTCATGCCTGTAATCCTAGCACTTTGGGAGGCTGAGGTGGGCGGATCACGAGGTCAGGAGATCGAGACCATCCTGGCTAACACGGTGAAACCCTATCTCTACTAAAAATACAAAAAAAAAAAAATAGCTGGGCGTAGTGGTGGGTGCCTGTAGTCCCAGCTACTCAGGAGGCTGAGGCAAGAGAATGGCATGAACCCGGGAGGCAGAGCTTGCAGTGAGCCAAGATTGTGCCACTGCACTCCAGCCTGGGTGACAGAGCGAGATTCCGTCTCAAACAAACAAACAAACAAAACTGTGCACTGTATATATTTGTTCATGCAAAAGTCCCAAGTCTGGTTCCCCAGCCCCGTCAGGCAAGAGGTGGCAGCCTAAATGACACCTAAGAGAGGCCTATACTAAGCCCTTTTGTCCTCCCTCACAGTGCCATCCTCTTTTTCCTTATAGTAGTTAGTTTGATGTCTAATTATCTAGTTACTTCTGTGATGCATGTGAGCTCCAATGAGGGCAGCCCTGTGGCCTCCATCTCCAGTCACGTAGAGTTGGGTCTGGCATAGAACAGGTGTGCTCAACGTTTGAAATAGATTTAAATAAATGTTGATGGAATGAATGATGCAAGCAATTAAGTAGGACAACCTTGACCTGTGAGAAGTAAACCGAAGCTCCAGAGCACAGGGGTGGGAGCCTAGATGAATGGGTCGCAGCCTTGAGGGATGGGAAAGAGGTTTAGTGACTAGTGAGGTGGCAGAGACCGGAAGGCAGGCTGAGGCAACCTGAGTGGCTCAGACACCACATCCTGAAATGCCTTTGGGGCCAAGGCTGTTGAGGCATAGAAGGGCATAAAGAAGTCAGGAATATAAACACATTGGAGTTTTAGCAAGACTATTGAGGCTGCTGGGTAGAGGGTGGTGAGGATGGCGGAGGCTGGAGGTGGGGCAGCCACAGAGAGGTATCTACGGTGACCCATAAGAAAGAGATCTCCAGCCTGACCTGGGGCAAGCAGAGAGAGGACAGGGTTTGGGAAAGGGGCAGGACATCAGATTCATCTGCTTCATCTGCTCCCATGACCCCCGGAGGATCTCCCATGTCACTTTATATACAGAGAACGGGCTCGCTGGACACTTAGTCCTGTGTCTGCTCTCCCAAGCACCCTCCTGCTGGGTGATCCCAAAGTTTGGGCTAAGTGTGGAAAGAGAAGCAGGTGGGGAGAAAGGGAGCAGAGTATCCAGAAGAGGGACAGGGAGAGGGAGTGGGAGGTGGGGGCAGGGATAGGGAAGATGGAGAAACTAGGAGTCAGGGGACTGTGCATCAAAGGTGGGAGCAGGGGCATACGTTTGCAAAATCACAGATACAATTTTTCATTTTGCAAAAATTTGCATGAACAAATTCCCTGCTCAGAAGCACAAAGTCCCTTCATGCTTCCCCACCCCAGTGGGCACTGATCCCACCTACCCACCATTCCTCATGGAGGAGAAAACTATCCTCAAAGGATTGTCCCCCCTAGTACCAACCCAGAGTCTGACATTGCTCTCTGCTGCTATAGAGCTGGGTCCTGGATAACAGCTGGGATTTCCAGGAAGGCCTGAGGACCATGTGTCCCTAAGATTGGATCCCTCCCTTCGCCTCCCATGGCTCTATTTCCTGCCAGCCTGTGATTCTCTGAAGTAGGGGAGAGGGAAGATAAAAGGCCCCAACTTTCCCCCAGAAACTCAACTGTGGTGATTGGGAAGGCAGATAAAAGTCAGAGATTTGGAAACTTAATGCCAGCGTTACCATGTCTGAGGGAAATAGACAGAGGCAGAGGGAGACTCCAAGAGAAAAAACTGAATTAAATTCAGTTCAACAGACGTTTATTGGTGCCTACTGTGTGCCAGGCCTAGAGGGAACATTGTGTACAAAACTACAGATGACTCCCATGTTTTTGGCTTGAGAGACTAGGAGATGATGGTACCATTCACCGAGCTGGGGAGAGAGAAGGGACTTGACATATTCAGTTGAAGGGTCTATGGTGTGACAACTAGGTATGTAACCCCTGTTCAACAGTTCCCAGCATCCTTTATGCTCAGCATGTGCTGGAGGCTTGGGCATTTAGAGTCTCAGACTAACCTGGGCATTATGATGGTGCTAGGGGATGATGAGATAGATCAGAGAACAGGGAGGGGGTGTGATAAGAAAGGAAGAGGAGAGGAGGATTGAAACTAAAACTCTGGGAACCCATGATTAAAAGAGAGGAAAGGGATGGTGATGCACACCTGTAATCCCAGCACTTTGAGAGGCCAAGCCTGGCGGATCACCTTGAGCCTGGGAGTCTGAGACCAGCCAGGGCAACATACTGAGACCCTGTCTCTACAAAAAATATAAAAATTAGCTGGGTGTGGTAGCACACAACTGTAGTCCCAGATACTTAGGAGGTTGAGGTGGCAGGATCACTTGAGTCCAGGAAGTAGAGGCTGCAACAAGCCATGATTGCGCTATTGCACTCCAGCCTGGGCAACAGACTGAGACTGTGTCTTAACAACAACAACAAAATTGGGGGCGGGGGGAGTAGTAAAAATAAATAAATAAATAAAACAAAAATAAATCAATAAAAATAAAAATAAAGGGCTGGGCGCGATGGCTCACTCCTGTAATCCCAGCACTTTGGGAGGCTGAGGCAGATAGATCACCTGAGGTTGGGAGTTGGAGACCAGCCTGGCCAACATGGTGAAACCCCATCTCTACTAAAAATACAAAAATTAACCAGGCGTGATGGTGGGTACCTGTAATCCCAGCTACTTGGGAAGCTAAGGCGGGTGAATCGCTTGAACCCGGGAGGCAGAGGTTGCAGTGAGCCAAGATCACACCACCGCACTCCAGCCTGAGTGACAGAGTAAGACTCTGTCTCAAAAAAACTAAAATAAATAAATAAATAAAATAAAAATAAAACAGAGGAAAGATGAGGGACTTCCAGAAGACAGGGAAGGTGTAGTGGTCCTAGGGATAGAAGAATCAGGGTTGCATGAGGCCAGAAATAGCCTGGTAGGACCAAGGAAGAGCCCAGGTCTTCAGCAGCCAGGAGAGGGGTGGGGCCAAGGGGACGAAGCTAGGGGTATGGAACAGGCTGGTGTAGACTCCTCCACAGGGGCCTGTGAGTAGAGTGTAGACCCCTCCTTCCCCAGCCTCCATGCTGTTCCCTGGAGCCCTGCTTGGGTTGGGGGCCTCTCTCAGCCAGGCAGAAGAATCAAAAAGCTCCTCCCAGGCCCCTAGACTTCCATCCCTGAGCCCTGGTTTTTGGTCTCCCCAGGAGAGTTCTGAGCCTTCCTCAAGCTCAGGAGCATGCAGTGGTTGGGGAACCCTGGGGACCCTGGGGGTAATTGAAACCAGGGCTAAGACATTAGAAACCATAACGCTGACTCTGCGGCTCCCCCAGGATAGCTCCTGGTTTTCTTCTCACCCCGATCCTCCCTGCTGTTGACAGCTCAGCTCTCCCAGGCCCCCAGCAGCTGGGCTGCTGACCCTCCTCCTCAAACCAACTAGAAGGGGCGTCCAACCAGAAGGCACCCAAAGCCAGCCCTCAGGGACCTTTTCTCTGCTCTCAGAAAAGCTTAGTGTATACCAGGCTAACCTCTTCATATTGAGGCATCCCAAATTCTAGTCTTAATAATCCCTTTTTGCAGAACCTAGGGAGTTGAAGTTAGACAATGGGAACAATTTTGCAATAGTGAAAAAGAAAGGGAGGAGGTAGATGTAGGGCAGGAGTGCCCGTCAGCTAGCAGGTGCTCAATAAATATGTGGAGAAAAACAGATCTCAAAGCCTGGACCCCACCAGAGGGAGGTGTTGGCTGGCCAGATCTGTAACAGGGGCAGTACAGGCTACACACCAGGGTAGCAGGAAGTGACAAGGTCAGATAAGGAATTCTGTGGCCTGGAAGCTCTCTCCTTGCTTGGATGTCTCTCTTTCTCTACGTTGCAGTCCTTGTCTCTTAGCAAAAGGACCAGAAGCTGCACTTTTGTAAGACTGATGGGAAGGCCCTCCCCCTGCACAGCTGTCCAGAGATTTCAGGATTCCTAGATTCCCCAAGTGCTGGTGTGGAGATTTGGGCCTGCCTCTGTCTCTGTCTGTCTCTCTCCCTGGCTTTTTGGTTAGAGACAGAGGGGTTCAAATACCTACTCTACTACCTACTGGCTTTGTGGCCTCAAAAAGTGACTTAAGGTCTCAATTACCTCAGAAGTAAAATGGGATCATAACAGTGCCTATTTCCTAGGACTGTGGTGAAGATTAAGTTAAATGAGATAATCCAGTCAAGTGCTTAGTGCTAGCCCTAGCAGGTGCTAAAGCCCCCTTCGTCTGCTGGCTTTGGCTTCCTCCCAGTTGATGTCTATGTCTCCTCTGTCACGGCCTTTCTCCCCATTTTCTCTATCAACATTATCCTCTGTCTCTGTCTTTTACTGTCTTTCTCTTGATCTCTTTGGCTCTCCTTGTATCTGGCCCTGCCTGCATGACCCTGCTCCAACCCTCTGGCACAATTGGCCTAGGTGAGGTAGGGTAGGGGTGTCCAGGAAGGTAAATTTAAATATGGCATTCATGGCAGCAGGGTCATGCCTGAGCCTGAACATAGGTGAACCACAATCGTTGGGGTGAGTACTTCTGTCTATGGCCCTTTCTGACTGGGCAGAAGAGCTGGGGGCTCACTCTGGCAGTCCTCTTGGAGGAGGGGGGACTTGTCCTGACTGTTCTGGGCCGCCCCCACACCTGGACCCAGGCCAGATCCCCATAGCTAGTGCCTGCCTGGAGGTGAGGCAACCTGCCCAAAGGCCAGAACTGAAAGGGGTAGCCCTCTACCTCCACACAGAGTTGCTTACCTGACCTCAAAACATTCTGGCCCACCCTCATCCAAGTTCTGCTCTGAGCCTCCCATACCCCATCCCAAACCCTGTGTGGAAGCACATTGCCTCCATAGATCTAGTTTCTCTTGTCTCTGGCTCTTCCTATCTCTGTCTCTATCTATGTGTCTCTGTCTTCTCAATCTCGATCTATGACTTTGGCAACTGCATAAGCCTTGCACCCCTAAGCTAAGACCACCAGGGATAAGAAACTGCAGGGGTTGAAGAGTCTGTGTTCTTCACCTGGTCCAAAAAGCTCCTTCTTGGTGGTGGTGGTGGGGCGAACACAAGAAATCCAGATGTCATTTCCATGTCACTGTGGACCTGTGAAGGCAGGGGGCATGGCATAGAATAGGTGCTCATTAAATATAAACCAAATGAAGGAGGGGCAAACAGAGGACTCCAAACAAGGAACTGAATGGCTGAGGCTGTAGCAGGCAGGAACATGGAGAGACTATGGAAAGGCTGCTGCTCAACTTTGTGACTCAACAAGGAGTCTTCTTTGGGGGTCAGGATTGGTCTCAACTAGCCCTAGATGCTGCCACACCTGGGCCCTGGCCAGCCCCTTCACGTCAGCTCTTGGGCAGACAGCCAGATGGGTGAGCCACTAAGACTTCCCCATCACTTCCCTACTCCCAACACACCATTGCCTCAAGGTGCCCACCAGCTTCAAGCAGAGTGCTGGGAATACAGAGCCAGAGAGGGAGAAACTCTGGGCAGGGGCACACGGCAGGCAGAGGCTGAGACAGGAGTCTGGTGTCCTGGTAGCCAGCCTGGGCCTGTCATGAGGATCCTATGCCAGTACAGTGATGGGGGCCAGACCCGAAACAGGATTTTATGTGGGGAGAGAAGCCAGGAATCCTTGAACATGTGGGCAGCTGGGCAAGGGGTGGAACGTCCCATCAGGTAAGGACAGATGTGCAGCTTCTTGTCCTTCTTGTTAGATAAAGACAAGCATTGAGACAAAAGGTTCAGAGAGATAGAATCAGAGCAAAAGAGAGAAGAGAGAGCCTGGGAGACAGACCGAGAAATAGAAACTCTCAGAGACACAGTCAGGCACAAAAACAAAGATGCAGAGAAAGAGATGTGAGTCAGGGACACAGACAGGGAAATGCAGAAGAGAGAGCCATGGAATTAAAGACACAGAGACCAAGATAGGGAGGGATATGAAATCAGAGAGAAACTGTCTCAGTCACAGAGCAACAATGTGGAGACAGACTCAGACAGAGAAACACAGAGACAGGGAGAAAAAAAAATTGAGAGATAGAGAGATGGAGAAGAGAGAGAGGAGGACAGCGACAGCAAGATCAAGAGAGGCAGAGAGATGGACAGAGGACAAGGCAGAAGGAAGCAAAGACAGGGCTAGGCAAAGAAAGAGATCAAAACATTAGGAGTGGGAAAAGTGGGCGAGGGACAAAGGAGTTTCGTGGCCTCAGTCTCTCTAGCCTGGTCTCCCCAGGGTGTTGGACCCTTACTTTGCTATTCTCTGGTTTCCATAGCAACAGGGAGGGCAGCGCCAAATTTGCATACACATTTACATCCTTTCTATTTGAATAATTCAACAGGTTTCTGTGCATATTCATGAGATAATGAATGAAGGTGACTCTCAATCCCTGCTCAAAACCTGGCTATGGTATCCCCTGCTTTGTAGTGTATGGTATGGCTCTGAGCCTGGTTTTGTAGGCCTTGACCTCTCCCTGCCAGACCCTGCTAACGATGCCAGCCCCTCCTCCCCAAACATCTTTTGCATTTTCCTACCTCTAGGCCTTTCTTCAGGTTATGCTCCTCTGCCTGCAGGGGATGCCTTTCCCTCAGCGTCAGTCCTGCCAGTGGCCTCTGGTAAGGAGTAGCAGGAGATGACAGGGGTGAGCAGGGCTCATCTTGGCTCCCTGGTGGAGGCGATCCTTCAGTCACATTCCTAACTGGGGGTGCTTGAAAGGGTCACACTGAGAGAGGCTGGGGTGTAGGCTGAGCTGCAGTCTGACAAATCTACCAACATAGAGCTACCTAGGACACAGTGGCCTCCATATGGAAACTGACAAAGCCCTTGGTTCCAGCTAGAATAATCAGAGGAGCTGAGATAGCACCAAAAGGAATCTCAGGAACAGAGGGGCTGAGGTGGCTCAGATGGTGGGGGAGAAAGTTCCTAGGGCCAAGAACCCTTTCAAAGTGCCAGGCATTGAATGGCCTTGTGGGCTGGGAGGAGCTTCTTCCGGGCCTGCTCTGCTTATAATTTTGGCCTCACTGACTACCCCTTGGATCCCTACAGCAGCTTTCTCACTGCTCTTCCTGCCCTGTACTGCAATCCACTCTCCACATTGTAGCCAGAGTTCTCTTTCTAAACACAATCTGATATTCCACAGAACTCCCACCTTGAAGCCTTCAGTGACGTTCCATCTCCCTCAAGATAGAGTCCAAGCACCTTTGGCCAGGCTTGCAGGCCTCTCTGTCTGACCCCCACTCACTTCTGAGCCTCATCCCTTACTCTCTGCCTTGAACTTCATGCTCCAGTGATCATCTCTATGCTGCCTCTATGCCTTGGCTTATCGCTTCCCTTCACCTGGAATGTCATGCCCACTTCTCTCCTAAGCTATTCAAGATTCCACAGAGGTATCACCTTCTCTTCTTTAAATCTTTGTGTGTCTCTAAAAGTTGGAATACGGGCTCTGTCTGAACTCATGCAGCAGTAAACCTGCCTAATCTGTGTACTTGTCACACCATAGGGAAACTTTTTTTTTTTTTTTTAAATGGAGTCTCACTCTGTTGCTCAGGCTGGAGTGCAGTGGCTGGATCTTGGCTCACTGCAACCTCCACCTCCTCTGTTCAAGCCATTCTCCTGCCTCAGCCTCCCAAGTACCTGGGATTACAGGCGTGCACCATCAGCACCGGCTAATTTTTGTATTTTTAGTAGAGACAGGGTTTCACCATGTTGGCCAGGCTGGTCTCGAACTCCTGACCTCAAATGATCTGCCCGCCTCGGCCTCCCAAAGTGCTGGGACCACAGGCGTGAGCCACCACGCCCAGCCTCCATAGGGAAATTATATATGTGGCTATAGCCCTCTTGGGGTTGGAGGTTCCAAGCCCAGTGACTATATTTGTCACATTGTGGATGATCATCAGCTGTTTGTTGAATAACTGAGGGGTCACTGAGCCCATTAAGGATCAAATTTCAAGTCTCTGTGTCTTGGGACTCCTGAGGCCCTCTGCACAGACCCTGGAAAGGAATGGGCTATCCCTTTGCAAATGCTGCCACCTTGTGGCCACAGCCAGAAGTGAGTGTAGCCAGAACATCACCTATCAATGTGAGAGCTGGACCAGACAAGTATTACAGTAAGGAGTGGGGAGGTAGTAGGTCCCAAGGGAGTGCTCAGAGGCCAGCACCTGTGTCCTTTAAACATTCTTGATGAGTTCCAAGCAGACAGAATGACAAGAACAAAGACTCAGAGGCAGAAAATCTTATGGCACTTGGGAAGTGTGACTGTGGTCAGAGCCTAGGGTCCAACAGGACAAGGCCAAAGACGGACTAAGCCATGGGCAGGGGCCAAGCAAAGGGGTCCTTTAAAACCACCCAGTGGGCTGGGCACGGTGGCTCAGGCCTGTAATCCTAGCACTTTGGGAGGCTGAGGCGGGCAGATCACCTGACGTCAGGAGTTCGAGACCAGCCTGACCAACATGGAGAAACCCTGTCTCTACTAAAAATACAAAATTAGCCGGGCGTGGTGGCACATGCCTGTAATCCCAGCTACTCAGAGGCTGAGGCAGGAGAATCGCTTGAACCTGGAAGGCAGAGGTTGCAGTGAGCTGAGATTGCACCATCGCACTCCAGCCTGGGTGACAAGCGCAAAACTCCATCTCAAAAAAAAAAAAAGAAAGAAAGAAAGAAAAAGGAAAAGAAACAAAAACCAAACATCTAGTGAATGTAGTGAATGAACTTGGATCCTGTCCTCTAATCTTGGCATGGAGGCTAAGGGAATAGAAGAATGACAAGGTCAGATCTGAGTATGGCCCCATATTGGGGGCGGGTGGCTCAATATTCATTCATTTACTCACTAAATATTTATTGAGTACCTACTATGTGCCAAGTGATGTTCAAGATCCTTAGGTTACATAAGGGAATGAAACAAAGATTCTTTCCCTTTTGGAGCTTACATTCTCATCAGGAGGAGACAATAAACAAAAGTATTATTTTAAAGACGTAAATATCATAGAGGTTAAGAAAAACTGGAGTGGGGGAAAGGCAGGGTAAGGAAGATCGAAAGTGCTGGACTGCAATTTTAAATGAAGTGGCCAGAGTAGGCCTCATGAAGGTGACATTTTAGCAAAGACTTAAAGGAGGGAGGGAGATAACCATGCAAGTATGGGGGGAAGAGCATTCTAAACAAAGGGAATAGCCAGTGGCTTGGTTTGGGGGAGAGCTCCAAGGGGAGTGAAGCACAGCGATGAGTATGGAAACTGCTGAGCGATAATGAGTGGCACAAACCAACAGAGGCTTTGGGGATGGAGACCTAGAAGGCAAAATGGGCAGAACTTGGTGCCTGCTTGGATATGGGAGGCACATAACTCCTCCAGGCATATTGTGTTCTGATGTCCCCATTTCAAGGGAACAAACACAAGGTGGCTAGACATGCCACCTCTAAGACAGGTAGTGAGAATGCTCAACGCATTCCATCCTGGATGACTCCATTGCCGACCAGAATGCTCCCCACCTCACCTTTCCCAGCCTCAACTCACCAGCTCATCTTCCGTGTCTCTGTCTCCAGACCCTCCAGCCATCCACTCTCATGCCCACAAATCCTATCAGCTCCAAAAACCCTCAACCCTATTAATACCTTCCCATCCTTTAGCTGTGGTTATGGGTTAAATTGTGCCCTCCACTCCCATTGCCCCCCAACCAAAACCATTTATAGATATCTTCATCCCCAGTACCTCAGAATGTGACTTTATTTAGAAATACAGCCTTTATAGAGATAGTCAAATTAAAATGAGTTCATAGGGTGGGCCCTTATCCAATATAAGTGGTGTCCTTACAAAAAGAAGAAATTTGGATACAAAGACACACAAAAAGGGAAGATGGGGTGGAGACACAGGGAAAATGCCACGTGAAGAGTGGCATGATGCACCTATAAGTCAAGCATGCCAAAGGATGCTGGCAAATCACCAGGACGAGGCAAGAAAGGATTCCCCCACAGATTTCAGAGGGAGTGTGGCCCTGCCAACACCTTGATTTCAGACTTCCAGCTCCAGAATGGTGAGACAATAAATTCTGTTGTTCTAAGCCCCCCAGTTTGTGGCACTTTGTTACGGCTGCCTAGGAAACCATATAGCTACAACGTTCCTGTCCTAGGATAGTCCATCTCACTCCACCCCATCTTCATGGGGATCTCCAGGCCACTGACTCCTGTCCCTTTTCCCTCACTTCCCTCCTGGCCCAGTTTGGATGCCTTGGTCGTTCACTACATGTACTCTCTTGCTAGTCTCCTCATGCATCTTCCCTCATTCCTACCTGTCTTAAAGTCAGTCTGGAAGAATGCATCTGTGCTTTTTCTGAGTCCTCACCTATCCTGTGGGTGCTGCTAAGAGCTCACACACCCTGACCAATGACCCTACAAGTTCATGGTCACCAGCCTACACTGGGCTTTTAGCCCTGCCTGGTCATTATCCTGTACCTCTTCTAGTCACCTCTCCCTAGTCACCTCTCCCAACTGCAACAACTATCTCACACATCCTTCCCTCTAGCTTCCTTGCCCCACTCTCAGCTATGGAGCTGGACTACTGCTTTGAGGAGATAAGAGGCCTTCTGAACTCCCTCATGTCCCATCTTCACCTCCAGACCTATCTGCACACATATCTGTCCTCAACTCCATCCCTCCTGTTACAGGAAGTCATCCCTCCTCTTCCCTGGGGAGGCCCTTACCTCCATGCTTCTGGATCCCATTTGCTTTTACCTGCTCAGGAACCTCATGCTGTGAGTTATCCACAATCTCCTGCATCCTTCATCTCTTTCCCTACTGGCTTCTTCGTCTGTCAGCCTATAAACATGCTCAAGTCTCTGCTAGTATATTAAAAACTACAACAACAACAACAACAAAAACAAAATCCAACACTCTCTGTACTCCACATTCCTCTCCTGCTATCTATCACCCCTTTCTACCCATTCACAATCCAATTTCTTGAAAGAGCTGTCTCTACTTCCTTACCTTTTGTGCCAAGACGTGACCTTATGGTGGCAGAAGCCACATTGCAGTGAATTAAGGAGAAAGTGGACAGAACTAGACACAACTCTTGTGCTCTCTTGTAAAGCTGGTCAGCCTTTCTGACTCCAAAGGGCTCATGCCTCTGGTCCCCTCCCTGCCATTCCTCCTGTAGGCCCCAGCTGGGCCCCGTAGAGACCAAAGATGGAGAGAAAATGCCCCTCCTGGGACTCCAGAGCTCGCAATGCCACCTTCAGCACAGATCACCATAATTATTATATGTGATCCCTCCACCCTGGCCATCAGCAGATGGGATGAGATCATCAGCCAAAGGTCAATAGTCTGCAAGGTGGCCTGGCCTCAAAGCTCTGGAGTTCCAATGATACTCAGAGAACTGCTGATGGCAGAAGACACACAAGTGAAGATGTTCAGAGAAAAAGCGGTATGCAGAAGCTGAGAGGGAACAAAATTCCTGAATTAGCTGCAAGGAGAATGGGGGAAGTCAGTCAGTTGCTGGCAGCAAGACACCTGAGTCACTGCCACTGCAGCCATAATTGCCTTTAGGAGTGTTTTAGATGCTTCACGACCCTGTGCATTTGAGAGACCTGCTCGGCAGCCACTGAGGTTTTCTCTCCTAATCTCCTCTGAATCCCCATCACCTACCCCTCCCCCAGGGTCCTCCACATCACTCAGAGCTAACCTATCTTTGAAAGCAAAGGATGCAGTATTTACAGTTTTGAAAACTGCCTGCTGGCCCTGTGGTCACCTCACCCCTCCTCTAAGCCCTTATCAAGGGCTTCAGTCCTCCAATTCCCTCTCCTTCTCAATCCCTCCTGCCTGGTCTCAGTTAAGTATCACTGCAACATCCTTACATTGCTGGGCCCATTCTACTACAATGTGAGCCCAGAAGAACCCCAACCTTCTGCTTTCCTCATGACTGGACACCCAGGCTGCTGGACACATTGGAGAAAATCTCAAGATCCATGGGAGATCCAACTGATTCAATTCTTCAGAGTTCACTACTGCCCATAATCCTGCTCTAGTTCCCGCAGCACCCCCTGCTACTGATGCAACCTTCATTTCTCTTCTCATGCCCCCGACCCTGAGAGTTTAAGGCCAAGGCAAAGCAGAAAAGGAGCAGCAAAGGGAAAAAAGGCAAGGATGTGGCCGGGCGCGGTGGCTCACGCTTGTAATCCCAGCACTTTGGGAGGCCAAAGCGGGTGGATCACCTGAGGTCGGGAGTTCGAGACCAGCCTGGCCTACATGGAGAAACCCCGTCTCTACTGAAAATGCAAAATTAGCCGGGCATGGTGGCGCATGCCTGTAGTCCCAGCTACTCCGGAGGCTGAGGCAGGAGAATCGCTTGAACCCGGGAGGCGGAGGTTGCGGTGAGCTGAGATTATGCCATTGCACTCCAGCCTGGGCAACAAGAGCAAAACTCCATCTCCAAAAAATATATAAATAAAAATAAATAAATAAATAAAAGGCAAGGATGAGACCTGGAGAGAGATGTGGGATTGAGGTTTTTTTTTTTTGAGATGGAGTCTTGCTCTGTCGCCCAGGCTGGAGTGCAGTGGCGCAATCTCGGCTCACTGCAAGCTCTGCCTCCTGGGTTCACGCCATTCTCCTGCCTCAGCCTCTCGAGTAGCTGGGACTACAGGCGCCCGCCACCACACCCGGCTAATTTTTTGTAATTTTAGTAGAGACAGGGTTTCACCGTGTTAGCCAGGATGGCCTTGATCTCTTGACCTCCTGATCCGCCTGCCTCCACCTCCCAAAGTGCTAGGATTACAGGCATGAGCCACCATGCCTGGCTTTTTTTTTTTTTTTTCTGAGATGGAGTCTCGCTCTATTGCCCAGGCTGAAGTGCAGTGGCGGTTCACTGCAACCTCCGCCTCCTGAGTTCAAGCAATTCTCCTGCCTCAGTCTCCCACGTAGCTGGGATTACAGGTGCCCACCACCACGCCTGGTTTTTTTTTTTTTTGTATTTTTAGTAGAGACAGGGTTTCACCATATTGGTTGGGGTGGTCTCAAACTCCTGACCTTGTGTTCCGCCCGCTACGGCCTCCCAAAGTGCTGGAATTACAGGCGTGAGCCACCGCCCCTGGCCTTTTTTTTTTTTTTTTTTTAAGATGGAGCCTCATTCTATTGCCCAGGCTGGAGTACAATGGCGTGATCTTGGCTCACTGCAACCTCTGCCTCCTGGGTTCAAGCGATTCTCCTGCCTCAGCCTCCCAAGTAGCTGGGATTACAGGCGCGCACCACCATGCCCAGCTAATTTTTTAATTTTTACTAGAGAGGGGGTTTCACCATGTTGACCAGGCTGGTCTCGAACTCCTGACCTCGTGATCTGCCCTCCTCGGCCTCCCAAAGTGCTGGGATTACAGGCTTGAGCCACCGCGCCTGGCCTGTTTTGTCTTTTTGAGACAGAGTCTTGCTCTGTCACCCAGGCTGGAGTGCAGTGGTGCAATCCCAGCTCACTGCAACCTCTTCCTCCTGGGTTCAAGCTATTCTCCTGCCTCAGCCTCCCAAGTAACTGGGATTCCAGGCATGCACCACCACGCCCAGCTAATTTCTTGTATTTTTAGTAGAGATGGGGCTTCACCAAGTTGACCAGGCTGGTCTTGACCTCAAGTGATCCACTCGTCTTGGCCTCCCAAAGTGCTGGGACTACAGGTGTGAGCCACTGCGCCCAGCCTGTTTTCTGTTTTTGAGACAGGGTCTCACTCTGTCATCCAGGCCGAAGTACAGTAGCACAATCATGGCTCACTGCAGCCTCAACCTCCCGGGCTCAAGCGATCCTCTTGCCTCAGCCTCCCAAGTAGCTGGGACTAAAGGTGCACACCACTATGCCTAGCTAATTTTTAGATGTTTTTGTAGAGACAGGGTCTCCCTACTATGTTGCCCAGGCTGGTCTCCAACTCCTGGGATCAAGCAATCCTCCTGCCTCAGCCTCCCAAAGTGCTGGGATTACAGGCATCAGCCACTGTGCCCAACCCAAAGATATGATTCTAAGACAGGAAAAAGCATGTTTGCAAACTAGTGGAGTTGAGGATAAATGTGTATACAGACAGGTCTGGAGGTGAAGATGGAACATGAGGGAGTTCGAAAGGCCTCTGTCTCTTCAAAGCAGAGTCCAGCTCCATAGCTGAGATTGGGGCAAGGAAGCTGGAGGGAAGGAGGTGTGAGACAGTTGTTGCATTTGGGATAGGTAAGTCATTAATAACGATAATAGCAATTAACACTTAATAGCACTATGTGCCAGTGTGGTATCTAAATGTCATATATGTATATTTCCTTATGTAATCTCATAACAATCCTATGTGATAAACACTATCGTATTCCTGTTTTATGGATAAGACCACTAAGGCACAGAGCAGTAACTTGCTAATAAGTGGCAGACCAGGATTGAAACCCAGGCAGGTTGGTACCAGAGTCCATGCTCACAACCACTATACTATACTGTATGCTGCAGATGGAGAGAAATGTCTGACCTGGCAGTGTTCCTAAACCAGGCCAAAGCAGGGGCAAATAACTATCCAGGGAATTAGATATATTCAGTACTGACTGAGGCTTCTTGTAGACACTATATTCTCCCAGCACCGGCCTGAGCCTACTACTCTTCCTCTGTCTTCACCCGATCAGCCCCCCGGGGTAAGGGCGGGGACTCCCATTTCTTTAATCCCACTCCACATAGCAGGCTGAGTAGAGGCTCATCAAATAGGTAGAAACTTTATTTCCTAAATCCCTCCCTGGACCTCTTTCAGAAGGCAGTTCAAATGCACTGTAGGTAGAAGGCAGAGGAAGCCCTTATTTAGCAATGCAGAACTTGGCAGAGGCCCCACATCTGTCATTCTTCACAGCAGTCCCTTCCCACATGCTAGAGGGAAGGGGAAGCATGATAGGGAGGTCCACTTTTGTGGACTCAAACCTTGATGGGGATGTTGAGCAGTCACAACGCTTCTCAGAAAAGGCACAAGCACCCCAGACATTCAGGCCCGGAGAACAGGCTGGCTCAGCAGGTCTTCACGATCGGGTGTCTCGAGCCCTTCTTCGGGAACGAGGGCCACAGCTGGAGCTGGGCATGGAACCCAGGCCAGGGGGTGCTCCTGGGGGTTGGTAACCACACTCATTGGGGTCCAGGGGGTCCCGGCTGAGCAGCACCCACACTGCAGGCACATGGCGGCGCACTGTGAGGGGGTCTAGCCCTGTGTCAGGTGAGGCTGGGACCCAGCTGTCCTCAGTCTGAAGGAAACGTAGCTTGGTGAGCTGGTGCAGGCCTGGGACCCGCCGCTTGACAATCTCAGCGCAGCTGACAGCCTTTCCTGCAGCCCTGCCAGAACCTGAGAACACTACATGCCGAGCACTGCCGCCCTCCAACCGACCCAGAGCCAACCCCAGCAGGTTGCGAATTTTGCTGCCATCTCGGACCCGCATCTCAAGGGTATCAGGAGGTAGCTGGGGCATTGGGGAAGGCGCTGGGAGCTCTACAGAGCCAGCTTTCCGGTAGTGCTCCATCCTGCTTGCTGTCTTGTCTGTGACTCTCGCTGCCCACTGCAGGGAAGCATCAGGTAAGTGCTAAGCAATGTGCCCCAAGTCACTGTCCACCATCCCCTATCTCCATCCAGGATATGGCCCTGCTCCCCGTTCCAGACTTCCCAGAAACAGGATCATGTCCCCTTGTCCTTAGCATCTCGTGACAAGGTCCATGCCTGCCGCAGTCTGGGAAAGGGCTGTACCCCATACACCCCGTTCCTCTACAAGGGCCATAACACCCCCACCTCCAATCCTGGAGTCCAAGAGGCAGGATCACATTCCCCAAACACTGAGCTCTTTGGGAAAGTGCCAGGCCCCCTCATCCTAAACTCTCCAGGACTGGGGCTTAGCCCCCCTTATCCTGGGCTCCTTGGAACAGGGCCTGGAACCCTCACCCCAGACTAATACCAATAGAGAGCGCTCCTCACTTGGGGCTCTACAAGGACAGGGACAAGGCCCTTCGCCCCAGGCCCCCCGGGAAACAGCCAAGAACCCTTATCCAGTGCTGCCCCCAAACAGAACGGATCCCCTCTCCCAGAGATTACCAAGGTCAATCTATATCAACCCAGGTCACTCAGAAACTCGGGGGCAGAGGCTCGACTCGGAGGGCTGCTCAGGACATTCCAAGACAGCCTTGGCCGTTTCCATAGCCACGGTCTCTTCCAGGGTCTTGCCGGCCGCTGCAGCCAAGCCACAGGCGTCCCCCAACCCTACGAGCGCCCCTCTGCCCGCCCGGTTCCGGCTCTCACCGAAGCCGCCTCACGCACGATCCGGAGCCAAGATGGCGCGCGGGCCCGGAGCGCACTAAGGCCGCGGGGCCGCGCACGCCCCGAGGGGGCGGGGCGTGAGGGGCGGGGCGTGAGGGACGGGCCCCGAGGCATCTCCGCCGCGGAAACAACCCGCTGGCCAGAGCGCCCCGGACCAGTCCCAGCGGGGATGGGAACACGAGCGCAGCCTCCGCTGTTACGCCCCGGAGGGAGGCAGGACAGTTCCCTGCGGTAGAAAGGAGCGGCCGTCGGGGAAGTCCTGCGTCTGAAGGAGGGGGATCTGGCCCTTAGAAGATGGGAGGGCTGGCGTTAGCTGTTGAGCAAACGGGGAGCTGTGGGTTTCACCGTGGGTGCGAACAAAGGCTTCAGTTTGTAGTGGCTGCTGTTGCATGGGCGAGAGCCTTAGTTACCGACTTCTGAGCTTCGACCTCATCCTGTGGGCGCTGGCGGACCACGGGGGTTTTCCGGGTTTTCCAGGGGCCAGTCGAACCAGATCTTGTGCAGGGAGCCGAGGAGGGAGTGGTGGGGAAATCGGGCCACAGCCCCTGACGACACCTGCCGCGGAGTCTGGGGGCTGAGGGGGCGGGGGTGCCCACGGAGCCTAGTATGGTGCCTGGCGTATGACCGGCGCTCAATATTTGTTAAATGATTTGTTACATTAATGAACCAGAGAAATCGCGGTGGGAATGGAAAAAAGATTAAGTTGGGAGATACTAGTAGGTTCAGTGACGAGTTGGCCACTGTTTGGACGGAGAAGTAGGAAATTCCGATCTAGGGTGACTCCCAGGTTTCAGATCGGTTTGGACACGCTGAATTTGAGGTGCCGGAGAGGTCGCAAAGGCGGGGCGGCCAATGGGCCGTTGGAAAAAGGGTCTGGAGCCAGAGCACTCCCTGAGACCACAAGGGGGCAGCAAACATTTGGTGGACTACGGTGCCAATCTGTTTCTCAACATGCTTGCCCCAGCGCCCCTACTTCCCAACTTCCCCTCCCCAGGACCAAAACTTCCTGCATCCAAACCTCTTAGGCTGCCCTTCTCGGCTCGTGGCAGCAGGTAGGCTCCCAAGAGAGAAATTTAAAGGCCTTTGCACATGCTGCTCCCTTGGCTCTGAAAGTCCCTGGATATCACTTACCAGGTCCCTTCAGTCCCTTTTTTCTTCTGTGTCCACCTGATAGGACTGCCCTTTTCCTTTACTGTCTATCCTGCTAGCCCGTGCAGGGCAGGGATTAGCCCTATCTACTCCCATCATCTGACATTTGGAGGTCTCTTATTGGTAAATGTGGGATAAATGGATACATAAAGGAATATCCTATTCACATAATCAAATGAGAGCCTTCATTTTGAGAGCTCTACACCTGCCAGAAAGCCAGACCAGGATGAGTTTAGTTCCCAGTCAAACGATTAGGCAGGCTGACACCTCTGCCCCCTACCACCTCCATCCTAGACCAAGAAGCCAGCACACTCCTCCAGTCATCTCTATGGTTTATTGTCACTGAAATAAGAACACTGATTGGGGGGAGGGTGGGTGTTGCAAATTGCAAACCTCAGGTAACCTGACCTCCAACTTTAGAGCCCAGAGTACAGAGAGGTGGGCCTTGAAGCCAATAAATACAAAGCTTCCTCTGCCTTGTAACAAAGGCAGGTTGGCATAGGGCCCTGGAGCCTGACTGCCCAGGCCCACTTTGGGATGGGGAGCAGCTATCACTCCTCTGCTGGCTTCACTTGCGTGGCGGCCTCTAGCTGGCAAAGTAGCTCATCCCACTGCACGAATTGCTTGGAGAGAAGCATTGTCTGGTTGTAGGTCAAGGTGAGAATAGGAATCTGAGTGAGGAAGTTCATGGAAAGTGGGGAACAGGCAAACATAGGTGGGTAGGATAGGATGAGAGAGAGCTAGAGGTGGAACAAAAGGACAGGGCTTAGGGACAGCACCCATTAGGGTCCTAGTTGAGCAGAAAGGATACAGTCTTGTTGTATTCCTCCAGGAGAGCCTTGGACTCCTCAGTGATTTCCACACACTGGTCCTGTAGGGCCAAAGTGTAGCACAGAAAGGAACTGGGCAAAGCCCACATCTTCCACTAAACTTCCTGCCTCATCACGGACTCCCACTCCCCATGGAGCCTAAAAAAGATGACGCTTAACCCCAAAGCCAAAGGAGCAAATGGCTATGGGAGCACTTTCAGGCTCCAGGATGGGTGCCCTAACAGCAGTCCAAAGACGGATGGAAAAGGGAGTGGCCATACATTAAGTAAACATTCCCCCTAGTGTATGTCTCTTCTTCTGTCCTTATTTCTGAACTCTCTTTGAACTTTACACTAGGGCCTGGGAATAGTGAAAAAAGAGCCCCTCTACCCACAGTCAATGACATACCATCCCCAGGAATTCTTGGGTACCTCCCAGCCTCAACCTTATGGTGTCCCAATAAAGTCCTGCTCTGGAAGCAGAAAGTTTGTACATGAACCTAGGCAAGTCCCTTTACCTCCCTGGGGCATATGCAAGATAAAGGATAAACCCCAAAGTTTCTGCTGAGGTTACAACAGAAAGGCCTGAAGCTGCTTCCCCAGGTGGCATGAGTTGGGATGAGGTGCTGCGCCACCTCCATCTTCGCTTCTAGTCATCTCCCCTCCCATACCTGCTGCTGAATGTGGATCTGGGCCAAGCGCTGCAGGCGGGCAGCATGCTCAGGAACGGCTGTAAAACACAACACACACTGCTGGATGATGCTTGTGCCCTCCCCCGGGACTGCTCAATAGTCTATTAGGTCTTTGGCAGGATTAGAGTATTGAGTGGAGAAGCTAAACAAACGCCAGACTTCATCGACTGCTGCAGCTGGAGGTGGCAGTGGGGCTCCCTGCCCACTCCAGTCTTACTCCAGGACCCATAGGGGAGGGGAAGATACATGTCCCGAGGAGAAGACAAAACCTTGGGGTTCCCAGTGTTGCTCCCTACCCCCACCCCAGTGCTATAAGCAGGACCAGGTAAAGAGAGCTTTGGCTATTATAGGACCTGTCCCTTTGCTCTCAGCCCAGCGGGGGCAGGTCTGCCTGGCTTAGGGAACAGGGAGTCTGAAGATGGATGCCAGGTCCCTAAGCTGGAATCCAACACGCCAAGGCTTGGCCACCATGCTGGGCTCAAAGCTTAAGGCTGTCAGATACTCAGCGGGCAGCTGATCAGGGGTAGGGAGGGGGAGCTGGGAAAAATACCTCCACAGACAGACAAGATGGATATCTGGATTCAATTAAAGCCACTATCTGCTTGTCAAAGTCCAGGCCCAGGGACTGCTCTCAGCAGTGCAGCAGAAAGAATTCACATACATTCATGGACCTGGCAGAGACTCTGATAGTAAAATCTGGGTTCTGCAGCACCTTGAAGAAGAGATGCTTGGGGGTAGGTAGAAGGCAGAAGGAATCCCCAGAGCTGGGGACTGCTAGAGCTTAGGCTAGTGTTCTCAGGCCCAAATTGCCTGAGGTCCTAAAACTGGGCTCTCTATCCTGGTAATTTTAATTGGTGGATGTGGCAAGTACCTCAGGGTGAGGATAAAGATAAGGAACAGGCCAGGCACAGTAGCTCACGCCTGTAATCCCAGCACTCTGAGAGGCCGAGGCAGGTGGATCACATGGGGCCAGGAGTTTGAGACCAGCCTGGACAACATGGTGAAACCCCGTCTCTACTAAAAATAGCCAGGTGTGGTGGCACACACCTGTAATCCTAGCTACTTGGGAGGCAAGGTGGGAAGTTTGTTTGAACCAGGAGGCAGCGGTTGCAGTGAGTCAAGATCATGCCACTGCACTCCAGCCTGGGTGACAGAGTACGACTCTGTCCAAAAAAAAAAAAAAAAGATAAGGAACAGACCCAACCCGAATCCACACAACCTGAAACACAGGAAAGTCTTGCCCATCCATCCACCTACCTCCCCAACCAGAGTAGTGAAGCTATAACCCCAGAGAGATACCTTTGATGTGAGCACTGTCCAGCATGGGCACCAAGGCATTCACCTGCTCCAGGAGTGCAACCTGGGAAAGGATAAACTGCTCCTCTAAAGCAAAAATGGACAAGATAGTTGCAGTGAAGCAAACCTGGGCATTGCTAATCAGCCCATGTAAGGGCCTGAGGACCTGGCAAGGGAGATGGCTAGGTCCTAGAGCTTTGGACAGTGACTCTGTCCACTGCCCCCTTCTCTAGGTGCACATTTCCATCCTGCCCCCAACTCTCCTGGATGCCTCAGGTCTGACCCATCTGAGCCTAATGAGCCTCTCAATTTCTCCAAATCCCACCTTTCTCCAAGGTTTAACTTCAAGACCTCTTCTTCTAGCCTCCTATCAACAAACTCAGGGAGCACCTCCTAGGCCACAAAATACAAAATACTTCAGACTTGGATCCCCACACCCAAGGGTCCCCAGGAAGGTCTAAAAGAGATATGTGGCAGACTACGCCAGGCAGGTTCTGCTCAGTGGCTCTCAGAGGCATAGACAATTATATGCTGGAGGAGAGCTGGGACAGTAATGGAAGAGTCCAGTGAGGAGAGCAGGATCTGGGCTAGGCCCTGTATGCACACGGGATTTCAATGCACTGAAATCCATAGAGTGGGAAGGGTATTCAAGAGAGAGGACTGTTACGTGCAAATGCTTAGAGGCAGGAATGCCTGTCAATTAGTAGAGGAGAAAGAATTCAATTAGCTGAACTGGAGTAGGGAGAGCACAGGAAACAGAGTTGGATGGGAGGGTAGACCCGGCCGACTGAAAGGCTTTGAATGGCAGACTATGGAATTAGGACTTTATCCTAGCAAGGCAGGATACACTGAGGTTCCAAAGTAGGCAAAGTGACATGTTGGGAACATGTTTTTGTGAGGGTGAGACTGAACCACATGCAGGAAGGGAAAGATTAGGGTCAAGAGTATGATTTAGGAGACTGTGCAACCATTCATATGCAAGTGGATGCACAATTCCTGAGGCAGTGCCACAGGGAGGGATGGAGAGGCTGGACTCAAGAGTCAGTGCAGGAGAATATCTAAACTTGGTGCTTGAGCGATGGCAATTGACCAAGAGCCCTTTGGGAACTCTGACAGCCCTTTTAGCAGGAGTGGCCCATCCTTACCCAGTCCTCAGTGCTGCATTGCACTGATCAGTCTCCTGGGAGACTGATCTCCCATCTGGGTTATAAGCTCAGGTCCCTGAAGCAGGGACCCTGTCTCCCCTAGCTCTGGCTGTGCCCATGAGGGCAGGGACTTTCTGGTTCACCACTGTATGCTTCCTCACTTAGGAAAGAACCTGGATCAGAGTAGATGATCATTATACATCTTTTGGATGAATAACGAAGCTCAAAAAACCCTAGCTTATAGAATGGCTGACTGATTAGCAGACATTGCCAAGGCAATAGTTCCTGCCTAGAACTCTGACACTGCAGAGCTTTCTCACATGAAAGAAAGATGTTGAAACTCATGCCAATACTCTCTCTGTTCTTTAATGGCAATGCTCTCTGCCCCTACCCTTTCCTAGAAGCTCCTCTGTCTAGTGAGCAGAAGTGAGGAAGGTTCTGAAGGAAAATCCAAGAGGCAAACTATTGATAGAACACTGGACTAGCTCCCACTGTGGCTGGCACCATGGCCTGCAGCTGGTGCAGAGGTATACTGTACTCAATGTCTACTAGAGGATCCATAGGATCCTCAACCCAGAACCAGGCCACAATTCCAGAGAGCAGCATCCAGGGCTTGTATCCACCAGAAGACTGGATGGAGAGGCCATCTCTGTGCTTAACCTCCCCGACGACCCACATCCTCAGATGCATGTACACATGTAGTCCAGCATTACCTGCTAGGATGAATTGCAGCTTAGAGGCATCAGGTATGGCAATGCGGTCGATGTACTCAGGATCCAGGTACTTGATCAGATCTTCAACTAGAAAAGTAGCAAGATGGAAAATGGAATAGGGTTGGGCAGTAGAGCTCTGCCTTATGAAGGATGTTTGACAAGTGGTCAGCCTTGAGGAGAGCCTTCAATGAGGAGCTGATACCCAACAGTGCCACATGAGCAGGGCTCCACCAGGCTCCCTATCCCCACTTCCCTATCTCTCCACTCTCTTCTCTTGAAGTCTCTTCTGACATCAAGCTTCAGAGCTGAAAACACAATTGCCACCACCACTCTGGGCCCTTAGCATTCTCACTGACCTATCCTCACCAAGGGTAGAAGGCCTCTTTTCTCCTAGATGTCACCGAGACAAGCCAGAGCTTTGTCTAATTTCTAGTTACTAAGCAGGTTACTAGTTCTGACATAACCAGGATCTCAGTGTCTAATTTGTTTCCTGCCCCTTAACCTTGCCTGGGAAATCCCATACCCTTTTTACCCTCCTTCACCAAGAGAAGCTTTCAGGTAGAGCTCTTATTTCATAACTTAGGACACTGTCATGGGCTTGAGGTTTAGCCACAAGGTAGAAAAGCACACCACAATTTACCAATTGAATTGGGTGTAGGTAAATGTCCTCATAATCTTTCTATCCCCAAAGGGCTATTCCAGTGACCTAATGAACTGAAGGGCTAGGGCCAGGTACCAGGAAGCTGAGGGGTGGGATGTCGGGCAGGCAGGCACATCATGGAAGCACTTACTCTTTTTGTAGAGAATCTTCACCCTCTCCCTCTTGCTGGAAATGTTCCCCAAAGCCACCTGCACCTTGACCAGGCCGTCAGCCACCTGTAAGGGAAGTGGTGGTTAATTCCAAGATATACTACCTGGCTCAAGGCTTGGAAAAGTTAAAGAACCCTCATTCTCCCAGACTCTCAAACCTGAATCCCAGTAATCTAGGTTGGCCTCCCTTCTCTAATATTAAAGGAGATGCAGCCCCACCTTCCAGGAATCCTTAAAGTGGAGAGAGAGAATCATGTACTCCTTGGGGAGTTTCAAGTCTGATGGGGAAGATAACGAACTATTTTAGAGTCTATGGAATATAGAGTATACACAATATATTTTCTGGTTCCTAAGTCCTGGGTTTGGGCATGAGAAACACAAGCATCCTCATTCAAGCCTTCATGACCTCTAGATTGGCTGGCCTACCTCTAGCCCTATCCCCTCCACATCAAATTTGGTGTGGGAGATGGAAGAGTCCAAACAACTGGGATCCCAATGATGGTGCAATCACTGAATTAGGGAATACAGAAGAGAATCAGGTTAGGGGAGAGAAAGAGTACAGTTAAGGGCATACAGATTGAGTTTGAAATGACTATTGGATATCCAAGTGGAAAAGTCCAGTAGACAACTAGACATAAAAGTCTGGTTCTCAGAACAGAAATCTGGACCAGAGATATACATTTGAGACATATTGACATGTAAATAGTAATTGACACCATGGAAGCGAGTGAGCCTACCTAAAGTTTAGGGGTAGAATGTAAAGAATCCCAATATTAAAGGGTCAAATAGAGGAGGAGACTAAGGAAGTGACTGCACTCACCCAGTTTTTAGGGTAGAGGATGAGGAATGCCAGGGGGGAGGCAAATAACACTGAGAAGCAGCCGTAAGAGGTAGAAGGAAAACCAGGAGGGTCAGCGTCATAGATCCCAAAGGAAGAGAATGTTTGAGAAGTTAGTTCTGAAATGGGAGCACAGTCTGCTAGTGACAACTAATTCCTCATTTAGTGTACAAACAGACATCATTACCTTGGACGCACTTAGCTCCAGGACATGCCTGACACGCCATCAGAAGTTCTTCAATAAAAGATCTTCCCATAGTAGAAAGGGGAGGAGAGGGCACCTGAGCTTCGTAGTTGTCAAAATTCTGTCACTGGTATAAAGCAGTGCTAGTCCACATCTGAATACCCAGTACCCAGTCTCTTCCCTTCCTAATCCTGGTCCTTTCAGACCTCACTTCTCACCCTTTGGCGTTTTCCTTATCCACCTCTGCTCTGCCTCCCCAGGGGTCCCATGGACCTCTTCCTGCACAATTCATTTAGCAATTAATTATGCAGGGCTCTATGACGGGCCTTCCTATCGTGGACTTCAGCTCTTATTGAAACTCTCATTAGTCAGCTTCTCGTGTCAGGTCTCCCCAACTATAGCTCGCGAGGGCAAGGGCGGAGTCTCAGCTACAGTAGGTACGGAGCCCACTCTCAGGCTGGCTTAACCACCCGCAGAGCCCCCTATGACAGTGGACCCCGATGGTCCAATCAGCTCTGGGAGGTCCCGGACCTTTGTTATTTCAAAGGCCGGGCTGCGGAGAACAGGACTGGAGCGGTTGCATCCCGAGGGCCAGGACAGTGGACCGCTCTTGCTCTGCTCCAGAAAGGGACTACCGGACCAGACTACTCACCTTCCGTGAGCCGCGCGCCCCGCCCGGCCCGTACACCCAGCGCTCCAGCTCTTCCACTCGGGCCTGTAGCCGCTGCAAGTCAGTCAGACCCGCCATCGCTACTACCGACCCACCTCGGCCAGGAAACAGCCAGAGGGCGGGACGTCAGTCCAAATAAGAAGGCTAGCCAATCCGAGTGCACGAGCGGCCCTTTATGCAGGAAGTGACGCCATGATTCAGCCCTTCAGTGCCGGAAGTTACTCCTCGGAGCTGTCAAAAGCTGATTACCTTGGCAACGGCTCTGTCCCATCCCTCCCCTGGCTTCCAGTGCCTGGTTGTCAAGATAACCTTTGCTTTTCGGGTACCAAAGAGCTTTCCCCACGCCATTCCCTGAGTTTGCACGTGTTCCAGGATAGGTCCATTCCCATAGATACATCATTAGGAGGCTCCGTGAGTTACCATAAACTTTTGGAGTCTTCTAAGGTTCAGTTGATTAAGTAACTTGCCCAAGGCCACCCAGCACTATAGGGACAGAAACAGGACTTGAACTCAGGCTGTCTGATTCAAGAGACGGAGCTCTTCTATTCTCACGAAACTTTGCTATTCTGCCTTAACCTCTGAAAGCCCCTGGCCCAAGGCAGCCTATGTTCCACATCATTCCTCCCCACCTCCCATACCCAAACAAGAAAGGAGGCATCAGAGAGGGAGGGACCGCAGCTTTATTGTCTAGATGTGACCTGAGGGATGTCTCTTTCACAGTACCCCAACCCAACCTTTCACTTGGCTCCTGAAGAGAAGCAGGGCTGACTCAAAAGGGTAGGGTCCTAGAGATGACATTGACAGAGGGAACACATGAGGAGATGATGGGGTTACTGGAGGAAGAACCCTTTGGTAGGTGCTGCTGGAATTGGCCAGGGAGGAGGTGCCCTCCCTTTACAATGAGGTAGGTGTAACATCAAAAGAAACTTTGGTTTTAAGTCCACATGGCATGGGAGGTGTCGTCCCCTCCCAGGGCTGGGTCCCAGAGTGGGCAGCCAGAAAGAATCAAAGCAGGGGGTCTCCTCCCCCCTCAGCAATGGGGCTGGGACTCTTAGTTTCAAGTAGGACCTCTCAGGGCAAGATGCTGGAAGGGGGCCCTGTGGAGGGTGGGGGTGCAGGGTTGGTTGGACCCTGGGAAGCTGGCACAGGCTGGCGGCGGGCAAAGAGGACACCTGGCAAAGGGGTGAGGAGATGGTAGAGGGCAAAAACAAGCAGGAGGGGGTAGGGTATGGAAACAGAAGAGGGGAACAAAAGTAAGTGTTCTGGTTGCTAGAACACTACACACGTACCCCTGCCACAAACCAATGAGGACAAGCTCCTTGGGTCAGTAAGAGACTCCATTGCTAATGTAGATACCTCAAACAGGTAAACAAGGAATATTTATGCTGATACATAGGCCCAAGACAAGGCAGACATCCCCTGGTACTCATGCCAGAGAGGTCATGCCTTGGATCCCATGCCATGTAGACACCCCCTTTAACCCATGCCAGTCTAGCAATCCCCTGAACTCCATGTTACTCATGCAAGTTTAGATATCCCTGAACTTCATGCTAGTAGAGGAAGTCTAAAATCCCCATGCCAGCCTAAATACCCCTGACCCCATGCCAGTGTAGACAGCCTGCAGTACCCATACCAGTGTAGACCACCCCGTTGATCTCTAGGGCCATGTTGATACTGCTGATGCCACTGCCTGCCAGATTAAGAGGCCCATCCAGCCGCTCTTCTGTCCAGGAGGGGGCAGAGGAATCACATTTTGGAGAATCAGACTTCTGACTTATTAATAGAATTTCCCCCCTCCATCCCCGTAGACAGCCCCCATTCCACTTCAGCCCCACACCTATACTCACACAGTTGTCTACAGAGGAATCTGTCTGCCCCGTCTCTAACACCTATCAGGTGATGGGTCAATCCTCCCTCAGTGTACAGTCCCGAAGCCCCCTCACAACAAGCCCCTCCTCACCCCTCAGGGGAACCTTGCCACGGGGCAGGAAACTGGGGGGCATGCAAGGTCGAGGTGGGTCCATAGGCCCCATCAGCACAGCTCTCTTCTCTGGGGGCTCCTCTGGTGCCAATTTCTCCCGTGTAGGTCCCAGTGCCAGGCCCACAGGCAGTGCCAGACAAGGGTTTGGAATTCCACTCTCCTCTAGAAGAACAGGTTATTCAGCTCCCCTGGCCAAACCAACCCATCTCTGCATTGGTTCTCCCCCAGGCCTGGGACCAAAAGAGGTAACTCAAGCTCATGTACCAATCTCTCATCCTTCATTCGATCTATCTTCCCATCCAGAGCCTCAGCCTGGAAGCGCTGAAGCTTTTCTCTAGAGCCCAAAGGATCAAGGTACATGTCTAGACAATTTGGGGGATTGTTTTTGGCTGTTGGTTATTAAATAATCCAGGTCACAAGAGGCACAAACTATATGCAAATAGGAGCACTGGGTGGACATGTGTGGAATGGAGTTGCTGTGATTAAAGGACCTTTTCCTGGCCGGGCGCGGTGACTCAGCCTGTAATCCCAACACTTTGGGAAGCGGAGGAGGGCGGATCACGTGGTCAGGAGATCGAGACCATCCTGGCTAACACGGTGAAACCCCGTCTCTACTAAAAATACAAAAATTAGCCGGGCATGGTGGCGGGCCCCTGTAGTCCCAGCTACTCGGGAGGCTGAGGCAGGAGAATCGCTTGAACCCGGGAGGCGGAGGTTGCCGTGAGCTGAGATCGCGCCACTGCACTCCAGCCTGGGCGACGGAACGAGACTCCGTCTCACAAAAAAAAAAAAAAAAGAAAAAAAGAAAAAAAAGGACCTTTTCCTGAACTTCAGCCCCTACACTTCAGTAACCCGTACCCCAGAGCTCTCATTTGGCCGCAAACCTCAGGACCCCTAAACCTTAGTGACCCCCAAACCTCAGAAGCCCGTCAGACCTTACTGCTCCCATACCTCAATGCCTCCCCAGACCTCAATCCTCACATTTTAATGGTTGCTATATCTTAGCGCCCACCTAAACCTCAGAGACCCCGAAACCTCTACCATTCTCCCCTCGCACCTTTCTTAATAGGGCTTGGACTCAGCTGAGCGCATGCATGCGCTGGCAGGCCGGAGGTGGAACCCTGGGCTGGGCCAGGGCTGGACTGGGTCGCCGGAGGGGCGGGGCCGGGACCCAAGGCTGGGTCCTGAGCGCCCCGAGGGGGCGGCCCTGCCAAGCCGAAGAGCGGAGTAGCGGTGTAAGCCTGGCGACGGCCCTCGCGCCGATTGCTGTCTATGGCGGCCTGGAGCTCCCCTGGGGAGCTGAGCGCTCGAGTCTCGCACTCGTACGGGTACAGGTACTTCATGTACCTAGGGGCGGACAGCGGGCGGTGAGTGTATGGGAGGCTGCACCCAGCTGGTCAAGTCCCACAGCCGGACGCCCGCCCGGGGACCCTCCCCCCTCCCGCCCCAGGCCGAACCCGTGCCCCCTTCCCTTCCGCTCCCGCCCCTGGCCTCACTGGGTGCGTAGAGTGAAGGCGGCCGAGGTGATGGTGGTGGGTAGGCTGAGGCCGCGCGTGACTTCCCGCCACACTTTGCGGTTGATGACTTCCACCAGGCCGCCCTTGGCGGTCACCAGGCGAAACAGAGCGTACAGGTCGAGCACCTGCTTCGCCATGATGGGCACGCGGTTCACTGGCGTCCCTGGTGGGGAGCGGGCTGCCGTCAGGACACTGAGACGAAGACCCTGTCTGCAGCATCCCCAGGGACTGATACAGGACGGGAGCCCCGGGGAGGGCGGGAAAGAGGGAGACTTGGGCGGAGCCCACAGAACCCCAGGGTCTCTGTTTTAGCAAGAAGGACAGGAGGCTAGAACGGGGGGGGGCAAAGTTCTGTAAAAGGCCAGATGGCTAAATGGTCTCTGTCACAACTACTCAACGCTGTCATTGTAGCCTAAAGGCGGCCATAGAGAATACCTGAAGGAATGGATGCGGCTGTGTTCCAATAATATAGACTCTGAAATTCGAATTTCACCAGTCTGGAGATGTTATTCATCTTTAAATTTTGTCCCCCAACTATTTAAACAAGTAAAAACCATTCTTATCTTGCAGGCAGCTGGGTTTGGCCTGCAAACTTTAGTTTGCTGTCCCCTGGGGTAGACCGCAGGAAGGACTTTCGGACAGTGCTGAAGAGCCGGCCTCCCCTAAGCAGCAGCCCCCGGGTGGCTGCCCAAGGCTGGGGGATGACGGGCGGGAAAAGAATCAACTCCCGCCTCGGCCCGCCGACTCCGCAGCCCGCGCCGCCCCCGCCGGCCAGTCCTGACAAAGGGGCCTGTCTGCGCTGAGCGATGGGCCCCAGTTAATTCCTTACCGATCCCGTCCCCTTCCGCCGCGCCTTTGGACCCGAACAATTAGCTGCGGCCTGATTAATGGGGGAAAATTATCGGCCCCGCGGGACCCCCTCCCCCTGCAGCTGGAGCGGTGGGAGGCAGGGACCGAAGGGAGGCAGGCAATGCTGGGATCGGTTCACACCCGCTACCCCAGTGGAGGGGAGGCCTCGAGGAAGGGCCAGAGAGGGAACACTGGAACCAGAATGGGCCTCCCTGGGAACCAAAAGGACTTAGGTCCCTACTGAGGGTCCCTGGGAAGGTAAGGGACCAGAAAGAGGTGCTGGGGTGAGGGCCGGGAGTGGGAAGTGGGCCAGCAGCTGCACTAAAGGCGGTGGGGGGGCGGGGGGTAACAGGGCAGCCAGTTAATTAGCGGCTTATCAGGCTGCGCTCTGAGTGAGTTAATTAGCTTTGCAGAGAGAGATAATGAGTCAGTGTTCGGTCCCATGAATCTGGGAAAAAGCTGAAGTGATGGACTGCCGCCCACCCTGATGCCCTCCTGGACCCTTCTTGCGTTCTCCTCCAGCTCTGACATTCCTGGAAAGGAATTTCTCCTCCTCCACAGCCTCAACTCACATAGTCCCCAGCCCACCCCTTGGGAAGTCCTTCCTTCAGTCTATTCCTAGTCCTTCCTGCTGTAGAGCACGTGAGGTGTCCCCTGCCTGAATCAAGGGAAAACAGGGAAGACATGGCTGGAGGAAGGACCCTGGACACAGAACCAAGGCATTCTCAGCCCTCTGATTCTGGGACCCTCCCACCCCAGGCCAGGCTCCCATCAGTTCCCCCTCCCACCCTCCCAATTGATCCCAAACTCATTAACCTGCCAGTGGGCTGGCCACTAATTAATCCTGGGGTGGAGGAGGGGGACAGGGTCAGAGGTTAAAGACGCTATCGAGGGCCCAAAGGACAGGTGCTGCCAAGCTCAGGCCTCAGCAGGGAGAACCCAACCGGGTTTCCTCAAACCTGGTAAGGGGGCAATTCCAGGGCCCTTCCCCCACATCATGCCACTCACCCCTCTTTTGCATGAAGCTAAACAGGTCATCCAGAAATTCCTTCCTCTTGGGGTCTGCATCGAGCTCATACAGCTGGGGAAGGATTGGGGTCATTCTACAGCTCTGCTGACTCCCCCTCCCTCCCTTGACCCCAATTCAGGTTGTACCCTGAACAAGGGTCCCTAGCTGAAGGAGTCAGTAGGATCTCAATGTGGACTCCCTGGGATTAGCATTAGGCTCTCTCCGCCTAGGGGCAGGCAGGGGTGCCTTTTTCTAGTACATACAGAGACTGGTACTGGTAGTGGTACCCTGGGCCATTCAAACCACCCATCTGGGGAGTAAGGGAAGAGAGGAACAGGATGGAGCTTGGAGGCTCAGCCTGCCCTCTGGGGCTCAGTCTTCCCCCACCCTCATGGGAAATTTAGAGCCCCAGGAAGGAAGCTAGGCTGGGGTTGTATACCAGACTGAGGAGACAAACATATATCTGATGCTCTGATTCATTCATGCAAGGACTTCATGGTGTTCACATCCCTGTATGCCAGGGCTGGGGGTGACTGAAGGGCAGAGATGCTCCTAACCCACCCCTCAGGCAGGGTGATGCTCAGAAGCTCCTGGGTTGACACCCAGGGCCCTTCAGCTCATCTTCTGGTCTGATTTCCTTTCAGAGGCAGTTAACCTGCCTACAGACGCTGCTATAGAGGCACTGGCCCTGTACCACCTAGGACCTGTGGGGTCAGAGTTTAAAGGATCCACAGGCCATCTCAACTCTTCCTGGTAATCTGGAGTCCCACCTCCTGCATCAACTCCCGAATACTAGTCAAGAGAACCACCCCTTGAGTCACTGACCCAGAGTAACAGTCCTTGAGTAACACCTATAGATAATATTCCATCACTCCATCCCCATAAGAATCCTCAGAGTATAAAACAAACAAAATATCCATGAGTAATAAACCCCAGATCCACCTTTAGAGCCACATTCCCACAAAAATTGAGCCCTAAGTCTAAGATGTTATTACTTAGATCCAAGTAATAACCCCTAGAATTATACCTAGGAGAAACAGTCTCTAGACCACATATCCAGAACAGAGCCCTGAGTAACACTCAGTTTTATACTAATGCCAGAGTACTAGTCACAGATCAACACTTTTGGAATATACCCAGACCAACACCCTACAAGTACCAGAATAGCACACCTGGAGACACAGCCCTGTGTAACACCTTCATAGTGACAGCCTTGAGTAGTGTCCTTAGAATAACACCCAGAAGGGTTCTCCAGGGAGAAAGAACCTCAGATTAAGGCCCTGTGAATGAAGTCTTGTCATTCTGAGTTGCGGAGGAGCCCTTTAGTCATACTGCGGCTGTAGTGGCCATCCCAGGCTGGGAACTATCATCCGTGGAACTCAGGCCAGGGAGATTTGCATGGGGCCAGGGTTAGGGAGGAGGTGACAGGAAAGAAAGGAAAGGTGTATCAGCCTGCCAAGTGAGTGATAACCTCCATTCTGCTTCCAAAGACAGAGGAAGCAACTGGGTCACCCCCACTGGTCACTGGAATATGACCTTGTGACTTGATGTGTGAGAAGGTAGGCAGGGTGGTGCTGGCATTGGAATCCCCAGCCCCTAGACTGCCTTCCCTACACCTGGCTGGGCATGGTGGCTCATCCCTGTAATCTCAGCACTTTGGGAAGCTGAGGTGGGAGGATTACCTGAAGTCAAGAGTTCGAGACCGGCCTGGGCAATACAAGAAAACCTTGTCTTTACAAAAGAAATTTTAAAAAATTAGCCAGGCATCTGTCTTTCCCTCCCTGTCACTATCCTCCAATCTTCTCTCTGTCTTTCTATAGGTCTCCGTGTCTCTGTGTCTCTTTTCATCTTGCAGAGGGTGGTGGGGGTGGGTGGGCTGCTAATCACCTGGCTGTGCTTTTGCCAGAAGAGAGAGATAGGGAAGAGGGCCGGACATTGAGGGCATAGGTCCTACCTGCTTGAATTGTTCCTCGTAGGTCCACTCGTGGGGATGGAGTCCAGGGGGCTGGCTAGAAGGCGAGCTGGGGCCCTGGGCCCCTGGACGGCTCTCCTCAGCTGCCTCCTCCTCTGCCCCGGCTTCCTCCCGCTTCTCCTCATCTTCTTCAGCATCTTCCTCTTCCTCAGCCCCAACATTCCCCAAGGCCCCCTCAGGGGCCTGTAGGGTCCGGTGGTCAGGCAGGGGAGGCTGCGGTGGCAGCAGCGGGCATGCAGGGGCCAATGGCCCCACCCCCTGGGCCAGCCGAGCTGCCTGCTGCTTCTGCAGGGCCTCCATGACAGCTTCCAGGCGCAGTCCCCCAGCTGAGGGGGTCCCTGGTACCAGGCGGGACCCCGAGGAAAGGGCCGCCTGTGGGGGAGGGAATTATGGGTGCTGGGCCCTACTGCCCCCAGAGCCCCCCAACACAGGGGGAGGTGGTCATGGATTCAGGGAAGTGCAGGGGTCACAAGGAAAGAGGCAGAAAGATGGCTTTCCCAGAGGTGAACAGAAACAGGACCAGACCCGGGGAATCAAATGGCCATTGACTGAGGACTGGAAGAGTGAGCAGATCAGAGAGGGTGACGGGGACCAAGAGACATCGGGAAATGGTGAAGGAAGGGAGAGAGAAAGAAAAGGAGAAGGGGGATGTCCGACAGAGACAATGACAGGGAGATGTGAAAATAGAGATGGAACAGGGTGACAAGGAGAGACAGAAGTGGGGTGACACAGAGACTGAGAGGGACCAAGATGGAGAGAGGCAGAGGTATCAGGCAGAGACAGGGTAGACAGACAGAGATGGAGAGAGATAGAATATTGGGTAGAGAGACAGGGAGGGTAAGAGAGGTAGAGGAGCAACAGATAAAAGACCTAAGTGACAGGTAGCTCAGAGACGGACAGAGACGGAGAGACAGAGGCGGAGATAGACAAATAGACAGGGGTTGAGATATAGGGAAAGACCAAGACAGCAGGAAACGGACAGAAGAGAGAGATTAGAAAGAGACAGTTAAATAGAGAGGGACCGACAGAGACAGGGACGGGAAAAACAGCCGGAGAGAGGGGCAGAGGACAGGGACCAAGGAGTCGCGGGGATGGAGGGCGGTGGGGCAGAGCCTGGGACGGGCACGGGACCGGACGGGCAGGAGGCGGCAGAGTCGCGACGCCCGGCTCCCTCGCTCCGGGCGCCCCGCGGCCGCACTCACCTGCCTGGCGTGGCCCGCTGCCCCTGGCGTCTCCACGGCGCTGCCTTTGCTCCGCCCGCCTCCCAGGCGGCCCTGGCCTCGGCTGGGTCCCGGCGGTGCGCTCCCGCCGCCCTGTGCTCCTCTGGCGGCTGTGCGCTCACTCGCCGCGCTGCTTGCGGCGGCCGCGGGGGCGGGACCCGAGCGGGGCAGGGCGGGCGGGGCGCATGGGGAGAGGCCCCTGTGGGATCTGCCGCTCTCAGCTCCCCAACAGGTGTCTCCCACCTTCTTTCCAGCCAGCTTCGGGGGCAGGGGGCGCTGGAAAGCTGCGGGGGAATCGTGCGAAAATGAGGGCTCTACCGCCACCGGACTCCGGACCAGAGCCCCGCCCAGCCTCACAAGTCGTGCCCCCGACACCCACACTCGGCACTGGGCTTCCACATACAAATAGCCGCATCCACACACCAACACACCTTGTCACAAGTTCAGGCGCATAGCTTCCCAGTCTCACACGTTCCGTGACATGGTCACCACAGTGCCAATGGCCTGGGCACGCTGTGATCAAGAGGGGAATCCCTCTGCAAGATGCTGGGGTGTGCGTGGAGGGTCTGGTCAGAATAGAAGCTTCTCCCTTTGCCTTGAGCACCCCTGCCCTGCCTACGTGCTGTCCCCCACTGCGGGCATGCTGCGGTTTGCACACATGAGTGCACATGGTGGTGGACCCACACCTATGCACTCACACACTCTCAGAGGTCTTTAAGCTGACTGCACACTCACCGCATGCAGATACACAGCCACACACAGTTTTTGTCTCTTTTGACATTCTATTATGGAAATTTTCTTTTCTTTTCTTTTTCTTTCTTTTCTTTTTTTTCTTTTTTGGAGACAGAGTCTCTGTCACCCAGGCTGGAGTGCAGTGGCGCGATCTGGGCTCACTGCAGCCTCCGCCTCCCAGGTTCAAGTGATTCTACTGCCTCAGCCTCCCGAATAGCTGGAATTAGCTGGGATTACAGGCGTCCACCACCAGACCCGGCTAATTTTTGTCTTTTTAGTAGAGATGGGGTTTCACCATTTTGGCTAGGCTGGTCTCGAACTCCTGACCTCAAGTGATCCACCCACCCTGGCCACCCACAGTGCTGGGATTACAGGCATGAGCTACCGTACCCAGCCTGTATTATGAAAATTTTGAAACATAGACAAGTGAATAGTATAATGAACCTCTGGTACTCATCATAGGTTTGTTTCAACAGTGACCGGCACTTCGCCCATGTTCACACACATTCTCCACCTATGTGTGCCTGACTGCCACATCTGTATCTCCAGACCCCCTCAGCCCACTGCTTTGCGCCCTCCCCCTAACTATTCCCAAGACGCTGAAATGCTGTTCCTTATTTGGGGGTTCTGAGTGGCAGGCCTCTCAGAATTTCTGCTCTGAACAGCCTGGACCCCACTCCTCCCGGGAATCCTCATACTTCCTATTTCTTCCTGTGCCCAAGGGGACCACTTACCAAACAGAGGGACACTGTGAGGTGATGCCAAGTGTGTAAGTGAACAGCAGGTGTCTGTAGGGGTGACACTTGGCATAGGTATGAAACTGTGGCACCAGAGACTGTCTTCTGACCTCACACCCCCAGAAGGCAGGAATCCAAACACGACCTTTGTCTCCTCCCTCCTCCCTTGTCCTCTCCCAATCAGTCCACTCCTCTCAGCCTCAGCTTGCTCTGGCTCAAACCACCGGCTCTTCTGACCATGGTGGGTCTGACCATGGTGGGTGCCTCCTCCCTGCTCTCCCTGCCTCCAGCCGCCACCCTTCTCTGCACCCTTCTGTGCCCAGCTTCTACTGCAGCACTAAGTCCTGGTTCTCTATGGCCCATTCCTGGCCACGCTGAGGCTCACCCCATTCATTCCTTTGGCTGCCCCAGTGTCCTCCACCTCAGATTTCAGACCTCTGAGCCCATCAGAACCCCCCAGCCTCCAGAAGCTCCAGTGATCCAATCACTGTCGGTACTGATGCCTCCTCCCCCATGGCTTTGTTTGGTGTGAGTATCCTGGGGCAGAGCCAAGCCTCCTCCTCTGCCCAACCCTCCCTGATGCTGGGAGGGGAGAATCAGTGAATGTGCCAGGCAGACAGACATGCCCTGGAAGTCTACTGGAAGACTGGAGAGCAGAGGGTAGCAATCCACAGAACCCTTGTGCCCTGCTTGCTCCCTTTTCCCCACCACAGCTTCCCCTGGCTGCTCAGAGGAGGTCCATGGACAAAGGTAGGTGGCCAGAGTCTTCCTAGAAAGGTAGGAATTGGCTTGGGGAAATTCCAGTTCTGAGTGTTTGGAGATCGCTTTGTAGGGTTTGGGTTGAATGGTAAGGGGCTGGGCAGTCACTCCCCCAGCTCCCAAATCAATCAAGCAAAGTTAATCCACTTTTGGGGTCTGGGCCAGGAGGGCTACAACTGGGAAGGGCTGAGGGGAAGGAATATGCTTGACTGGGACTTGGTTTATCTCTCTTCATCTGTGAAAAGGAAAGGCTGCCTCTCATACCCGCAGTCTGGTCTTATACCTCACAGAGACGGAGACAGACCTAGACCTTCAGAGACCCATGCTTCATTCATCCAACACATATTTATTATCTATTTTTTTTGCCAGGCACTGTTGGACACAGGAGCAAATAAGACAAAGTCCTTATTATAATGGTACAATTCTAAGTGGGGGAAATATACAGTGTGTCAGATAGTGGTAAGTACCATGGAGAAAAATGTAGCTGGGTTGGGGGGAACATAAAAGGGGGCATTAGTTACCTATTGCTGTGTAACAAATCACCCCATAATTTAGCAGCTTAAAACAAAAACATTTATTTTCTCACAATTCTGTGGGTCTGGATGGTTCTGACTCATTGTCCTCTAAGGTGTTGTAGTAAAAAGGTTGGCCAGGGATGCAGTCATCTGAAGGCTTGACTGGAACTGGAGGATCTACTTCCAAAATGGCTCACTTGCATGGCCCTTGGCAGGGGGCCTGTTCCCCCCGCAATATGGGCCTCTCCATAGGATTGCTTGTATGTCCTCTCAACATGGCAGTTGGTTTCCCCCAGAATGATCCAAGAGAGACTCTTTAGACAGCAATGCTTTTTATGGCCTAGTCCTAGAAGTCACACACTGTTATTTATGCCACATTATTTGTGAAAGTACATAATTAAGTCTAGTCCACTCAAGGGGAAGGAATTTAGGCTTCACCTCTTGAAGGACAGAGCATCAAAAATTTTGTGAAGGTATTTCAAATCACCATGCAAGAGATACTATTATATAAGTGTTGAAGAACTCAGTGAGCAGGAATTGAAGGAGGGGAGGAAGAGAGCTATGACTACGTGGATACCTAGGGACGAGCACTACGGTCAGAATAGCAGGTACAAATATCCTGGGATAGAATTTTGCTTGATGTGTTGGAAGAAAAGCAAGGAGGCCACTGGGTTGGAATAGGGGGGCTGAAGGGGTGAGTGGTTGGAATGTCTGATCAGAGGAAACATGGGCCTTGGAGTAGGCCCTTGTAAGGAGTGAAAGGACAGAATGAGATGGAAAGCCACTGGTTAGGTCTCAGCAGAGAGTGAAAGTCTGACTGGCTGCTGCGTGGAGAACCCTCCACACAAGATGCATGCGTGAAGATCAGTTAGGGGGCCATTGCAATAGTCTATAGGCAAGAGATGATGGTGTCTTAGACCAGGGTGGGGGCAGTGGAGGTGAGAAGGCATGATTAGAGTCTGGATATATTCTGCAGATAAAAACAGTATTTGATGATGGATTGGATGTGGGACATGAGAGAAACAGATGTGTCCAAAATGACTCTGGGCAGCTGGGTAAATGGAGGTGCCCTTAATTCACAGTAAAGACTACAGGATGGTGGTGGTGTGGGGCTGGGAGAGAATTCGGTTTGCTTTGGATATCTCAAGTCTGAGATACCTATTAGACAGCCAAGTGGAGATGTTGAGTAGAGATGAAGGCAGTAAGATTTCCAACTCTGGTGCTCAGGGCAGAGATTTAGGCTGAGACAAAAATTTAGAAGTCAAGATATATAGATGGTAAAGTCACAGAATCACCTGGGAAGGGGTGTAAACAGAAGAGGTTTGAGGACTAAGCCCAAGAAAGTCAGAGAATGAGGAGATAGGAATCCAGTAGCTGGGTGCAGTGGCTCACACCTGTAATCCCAGCACTTTGTAAGGCCAACATGGGCGGATTACTTGAGGTCAGGAGTTTGAGGCCAGCCTGGCCAACGTGGTGAAACTCTTGTCTCTACTAAAAAAAAAAAAAAAAAAAATTCCAGTAAAGGAGGCAATTAAGGAGGAGTAGTGTCCCAGAAACTAAGAGTGCCTTCAGAGTGATTACCCTGTGTCAAATGAAAGCTAAGAACTATGAAACGACCAACGGATTTAGCAGCAGAGATTAGGAGGGGCCTGGGAGCCTAGTCCTTTGTGGACGTTTGGGAGGAATGACAGGGCAAGCTGGGTCATCCCTGACATGTGGGCTCTGAGCCTAGAGGCAGAGCTGGGTTACAGAGTAGGAATCCCCCAGGAGGCATGGATTTGCAACCTGGGGTGAGTGGAGAGGAGCCAGCCAGGGCCTACTATGCCTGACACGGTGGTATTGGGGGTGAAGAGTCGGTTTCAGGTTGGCCAACTTACCTGGACTCCACATTCAGTCACAAATTGACTTTTGATGTTGTTTCTAAATGCAGTTATACATATAGTCTTTCGGATTTGTGTTCTTTAGAATGTTAAAATATCTAATTTTTATAACCATGTTTCTTCCATTTTTAAAATACCAGGAATCCTGAGAAGCAGGAGTGATCTATGCCTTACCCTCAGAACAGGGCCAGGACGAGGGTGAGGCATGCTTGGTGTGTAAAATGCAGAAGTTAAGGCAAGAGCAGGGTCTTTGGGAATGAATGCACTTTAGGCACCTCTCTTGCCTTACCTGAGTCCAGGCCCTACCTACCTCACATACTGCCAGGTAGTGTGCCTTCCTTTCATTGTGGGAGCCTCCACATTAGTGGTGGGTCCTGGAGAAGGCAGACCATAGACTGGAGGATCTCCTGTTTTGGGTGGGGGCAGACACTACTCTGGGAGCCCAGAAAAAAAGCCAACTGAGAACTATGCCTTTCAGCTAAAAAGTGGGTGCACACTGCCACCCTGTGGTCAGCCAGGGGAAGATTCTTAGGACTGTTCCCAGGATTGCACCGGCAGAGGTAAGACCAAGACACACTCCAGGTCACCCTGCCCTGAATTTCTCAAATTGTGGCATTCGCAGCTGTGTTGGAAGAAATCTTATTGAACATGTTGATCTCTGGCAATGGAGCTCAGTAGTCTGAGTTACTGACTCAAAGAGTGTCTTAGGTGATTCTAAGGCACACTCAAGTATATAGTCCCTACTAGTCAAAAGCCACTGTCTTGTCAGGCATGGTGGCTTGTTTCTGTTATCTCAGCTACTCTGGAGACTGAGGAAGGATCACTTGAGGCCAGGAGCTGGAGATCAGCCGGGGCAACATAGCAAGACCCCATTTCTAAAAAAAATTTAAAAAGCTAACCAGGCATGGTGGCATTTGCTACTCATAAGGTCCCAGCTACTCATAAGGCTAAGGCAGGAAAATTGTTTGGGACCATGAGTTCAAGGCTGCAGGGAGCTATGATCATGTCACTGTGCCACTGCACTCCAGCCTGGGCAACAGAGGAGACCCCATCTCTTAAAAAAAAAAAAAAAAAATCTACCATGAATCACACAGCAAGAGAGAGATCTTCCTGAGGTCCCCAGGGGTCAGAGGCTTTTTCCGGCTGCTCAGACACACAAAAAGATGGAACAGATCAACAAATCTTTATTAATAGAAACAGACAGATGGACAGAGAATGCAGCAGGGGCTGTGTGAAAACTGTGATATGTGTGTGTGTGTGTGTGTGTGTATGTGTTGTGTGTGTGTAAAAGGCCTTCTCCAGGCCAGGAAGGGCCCCTTGGAATTAGGCCCACCTGTCTAGATCCTCTCCTCAGTGGTGGGTCCTGGGCTGAAACCAGCTTCCACATCATACCCCCAAAGGAAGAATGGGGGTCTTTCTGGAATGGAAGACGCTGACTTCAAGCATTCTTCAAATTACTCTCGTTCCCCAGCTGAGCTTTGTTGCTGAGGGGGTTGGGGACAAGCCACAGGGGCACTTGCATAGCAGGGGAGTAGAATGGGGATAAGGCATATGGTGAGGACAGGGGAGAAGGGGAAGGGCATCATAGCTGCAGGTGAAGGGGGCCTCCAAAAGGCAGCTCCTCTTCCCCCTCATCCCCTCAAATTGCTGCTGGGTTGAGGAGTCAGACTGAGGCAGTATAATACCCTCCCCCATCCTTAACTCTAGAACCCCGGTTTGGTGGGGAGGAGGTGGGAAGCTGTGGAGCTATGGAAAGGCCTCAGTTAGTGAGTCAAGCTGTGATGTGTGTGTCTGAACACAACTGGCTCCCTTGGTATACCGGGGGCTCCCTCTCCAGATGGGTGTGAGTGCATGGTCCTACTGTACACACAGGTCTCAGTATCTATATGTGTCTCATTTGTTCCCATGGGTCTCTGTGTTTGGATACATAAGCATGGATATCCCTGCTCATACAGCAGGAACTCAGGATCTGCATGGTGTATGTCCCTGTCTGTAAACATGGGCTCCAGCAAGTGGATATGTGCGGGCCTGCCCGCTCCTGTCTATCCGCAGGTCTTCCTTCAGGCCTGGCTGGTCAAGGGTCCTGGCCAAAGAGGTAGGTGGTGAGCTCAAGCCGGAGGCCCCGAGCATAGGAGCGAAGAGTATAGAAGAGGGTGAGGAAGTCCTGGGTGCTGAAGACAGTGTCGGCCAGCGCGAAGGCCAGGGTGGATGGGATGACGCCCCGGCCGTACTCCACCATCCATGTGTTTGGCCCCCACTCCACAGCTGTTGCCTCACCAGGCCCGTGTACTACCGTCTCCCCTGGGGGACAGGGAGCACCCAAGTGAAAAGCCAGCTCTGCCCTGCCCTTCCATGGCTGCTGCTTCCCTGGCCCATGGACTAACTAGGGGTGGGGAATGGAGAGGGAGCTTCAGAAAAACAAAAAGCCCTACCTCACTGGGCTGGCCCAGATGGCCACTCCTAAATGTTCTGTGGCATCATCTGACCCACGTCCTCTCTTTGGAGAAGCCATGGACGGCTACCTCGCTTGGCCATGGACCCACTGTATGGAAGTCTGCACTCCCAAGCCTCACTCGAATCAAGCAGAAATTTAGCTAAACCTGGGCTGGGCTTGTAGCTAGGAAAGGGGTAGTTCCAGGACTTGTGAGGCTTTATCTGAAAAGTGTAGCTGTTCAACCACCATGCCTGCGATGCATACACCCAACCTCAAATATACTGGGAAGTCCAGTGCTCTATTTCTTAAGTAAATTGTTTCACTATTAAAAAAAAAAAAAAAAAAAAAAGGCAGGGGAGCGGCCGGGCGCGGTGGCTCACACCTGTAATCCCAGAACTTTGGGAGGCCGAGGCGGGTGGATCACGAGGTCAGGAGATCGAGACCATCCTGGCTGGTATGGTGAAACCCCGTCTCTACTAAAAATACAAAAAAAATTAGCCGGGCGTGGTGGCGGGCGCCTGTAGTCCCAGCTACTCGGGAGGCTGAGGCAGGAGAATGGCGTGAACCCGGGAAGCGGAGCTTGCAGTGAGCCGAGATCGCGCCACTGCACGCCAGCCTGGGCGACTGAGCAAGACTCCATCTCAAAAAACAAACAAATAAAAAGATAACTGTCTGTCTTGTCTTTTGGGGTATTGAGAGCATTTCTGATTACCCATTGTCTCCCCAACAGTTGTTGGAATACTGTCTGGGCAAAATTGTGCCTGGGCAGATAAAAATCAGACATGTTTAATAGGAAGTTGTTATGTTTTGTTTCCCCTTGACAGAGGAAAGCAAGAGTCCCTCAGCTCTGCCCCAACCAATCACCTGTGGCTTATGGGAGGGTGGAGGAAGGGAACCATGAGGAGGGCCCCCCCAACACACTCCTTTTCCATGCCATGCTCCCCGCAATTGTGGGCACCCCCCGCGTGAAGGGACCCACTTCTCTGACAGAGCCTTCTTACCCACCTGGGTAGAAGACCTCACTTTTGGTGGTGCCCTCTCTCCACTGGTGGAAGGTGCCAGAGATGATGGTATCCGAGATCTCAGCCCAGTAGCGCCCTGAGTGACAATCGCACATGACACTATCAGGGTATTCGCGCCATTGCATGGCCCAGCCAAACATCAGAAAGGAGGGCATGGGCCCCTTTACAACCCCAGCCTCCCAGTCTGGCCCGCCGCTAGCACTGACCCGAGTGGCCGCGGGAGCCCAAGGCGGTGCCGAAGAGCAGCACATACTCGGACAGCGAGGCGTGCAGAAGGCACATGGCGCCCATCCAGCCACCCGCATTCACGAACACCCACTGCAGCTCCTCGTCGGGCAGCACGTGGCCTGGGTGCAGCCGCCGCAGCTCCACGATCAGACGAGAGAAGGCCAGCTCGTGGTCCAGCCCTGGCGGAGGCAGAGGGGCGGCGGAGTCAGGGCTGGCACCGGTCCTAGGTCCGGGGATGGCGCCTTCGGAACCCTAGGCTCCGCTCCCAGGCCGGCCGCTCCCCTCCCTGCCCTCTGCCCGCTCACCAGCGTACTGCCGCGCCAACTGCGCTATCTCTTCGCGCTGGAAGACGAAGCTCTGCGTACCCAGCCAGAGCCAGACGACCTGGGTCAGCACCGCTGCGACAGCCAGGAGCAGCGCGGCCCACGCCCACCGCCGGCCCACGGCCCACTGCATCCCGGCGGGCGGCCTGGCACGGCGCAGCTCAGGAGGGAGCCGGGGCCTGAGGCTTTGCGCTCACGGCCTCGGAGCCCGCCGGCTGCCCACGAAGCGCTCCCCCGCCACCGCCGTGGTACGGCTCGCCCTGACCAATCGGAGCGGCCCGGGCACCTTGGCACCGCCCTTCGGTTGAACCATTTCCTCGGGGGGAGCACGGAGGAGTGGGGCGGTGCCGCGCAAGGGAGGCAAGGGGGCGGGGCCAAGTCGCCCAGCGGCAGATGTCAGGGTCTTCAGGCGAGGTCTGACCTAGCTAGCGCCACTCTACATACGGATAGGTGTGGGGATAGTGAGACCCAGAATGGACGGGCTCGCCCGAGCTCACTGGCTGGTGAAGCAGACGAGCCCGGAAGTGAAGCCTTCTGGGACTCAACGATTGTTAAGGCCCGCCTTTACCAGGACTGAAGCGGAGAGGAGGCAGTTCAAGCTGGGAGCCCCAGGGTGGGCATTCCAGAGGCGGTGACACCTGAGCAGTGTCTTTAAGAGCTCGCAGAAGGGGCATGCCAGCCCACAGGGACCAGCCCCTAGAGCAAAGGCCTCCGAGGAGAGACAGCTTGGGGTCTTCAGGGGCCTACAATTCCTTCTCTGTTCTGCGGCACAAAATGTGAGAGGAGGCCTTGTAAACCAGCTGAGGGTTATCAGCAAGGGAGGAAGGGGATTAGATTTTGCCACCGAGTGGCACAGGACTGTCGAGTGGAGGGGAGCAAGATGAGTCAGGGAGACCATGACTGTGGGCCAGGTAAGAGGGAAGGTCTGTGTCAGTGGAGATGGAAGAAAGAAATGAGCTTAACAACTCTGGAAATGGAGTTGGCAGGGCTTGATCTCTTCTTCCTGGAATACTCTTTCCCCCTTTATCCTATCCCCACTTTCCCCTTATTTGGCTAACATCCTTTGCATGTCTAGTGGGCAGTTGAGTGTCCAGGTCTCGAAGCTCAGCTCCAGTCTGGAGATAGAGCTGGGAGTTGTCATTCATTCAGATACTTTGTTGGCACTTGTATGTGCCAAGTTCTGTGGTGGCCATTAGGGATATGGCTAGAAACAATGGTCCTACTCCCCAGCTTAGAGATCTCACTGGAGAGTCTACAGAAAACCTCTAAGAATGGATGAAATCTCACAGGGAGAGAGAATAGAGTAAGATAAGGCTAAAGACAGAGCCCTGGAGAGCACCAACAGCAAAGGGTAGGCAGAGGAAGAAGAAAGCAAAAAGGAAAAGAAACAAAAGAGAAAAGAGGTAGCATTGTGCAGTGATTAAGAAATAAACTCTGGAGCTGGACTGCCTGAGTTCAAGGCCTGGCTCCTGCTACCTACTAGTTGTCTGATCTTGGGCAGTTTACTTAAAATCTCTGTAACTTAGTTTTCTTACCTGTAAAATGGAATGGAGATAAGTACCTACCTCATAGTACATATCTTCATTGTGATGAGATTAGATGGGTTAATATTTATAAAGCAGTTAGTGCCTCACATGGTGAGAATTTTATGTGATGGTTATATATATAAAACATAAAGGAACTGGAAAAAAGTAGCCTCATACATTTTTGACCTTAAAGAAAGAAACTGAGGCCGGGCGAGGTGGCTCATAACTGTAATCCCAACACTTTGGGAGGCTGAGGCAGACGGAACACTTGAGTCCAGGTATTCGAGACCAGCCTTGGCAACATGGTGAAACCCCATCTCTGCAAAAAGTACAAAAATTAGTCAGGAGTGGGGGCGCACACCTGTAGTCCCAGCTACTCAGGAGGCCGAAGTGGGAGGATCGCTTGAGCCTGGGAAGTGGAGGTTGCAGTTGAGCCAACAGAGGGAGACTCTGCCTCAAAAAAAAAAAAAAAAAAAAAAAAAAAAAGGGCCAGGCACAGTGGCACACACCTGTAGTCCCAGCACTTTGGGAGGCCAAGGTGGGCAGGCAGATTTCCTGAGCTCAGAAGTTCGAGACCACCCTGGGCAACATGGTGAAACCTCGTCTCTACTAAAATACAAAAAATTAGCCGGGCGTGGTGGCAGGTGCCTGTAGTCCCAGCTACTCGGGAGGCTGAAGCAGAAGAATCGCTTGAACCCAGAAGGTGGATGTTGCAATGAGCCAAGATCGTGCCACTGCACTCCAGCCTGGACAACAGAGGGAGACCCTGTCTCTAAAAAAAAAAGAAAAGAAAAAGGGGCCGGGCACTGTGGCTCACACCTGCAATCCCAGCACTTTGGGAGGCCGAGGCGGGTGGATCACCTGAGGTTGGGAATTTGAGACCAGCCTAACCAACATGGAGAAACCCTGTCTCTACTAAAAATACAAAATTAGCTGGGCGTGGTGGCGCATGCTTGTAATCCCAGCTACTCAGGAGGCTGAGGCAGGAGAATCACTTGAACCCAGGAGGCAGAGGTTGCGGTGAGCCGAGATCACGCCATTGCACTGCAGCCTCAGTGTGAAACAGCAAAACTCCGTCTCAAAAAAAACAAAACAGGCTGGGCGGGGTGGCTCACGCCTGTAATCCCAGCGCTTTGGGAGGCCGAGGCAGGTGGATCACGTGGTCAGGAGTTCGAGACCAGCCTGACCAACATGGTGAAACCCCATCTCTACTAAAAAATACAAAAATTAGCCGGGCGCGGTGGCGCGTGCCACCCACTTGGCCCAGCTACTTGGGGGGCTGAGGCAGGAGAATCGTTTGAACCCGGGAGGTGGAGGTTGCAGTGAGTGGAGACTGCACCATTGCACTCCAGCCTGGGCGACAGAGTGAGACTCTGTCTCAAAAAAGAAAAACACACAAACAAAAACAACAGTGAGGAAAAAAAAAAGCTGAGGCAAAATTAATATAGAGAGTTTATTTGGGCCAAGGTAGAGAACGACTGCTCGGGACACTTTTCCAAGTTGCCTTGGGGAATGTTGATACAAGCATTTTTTATTTTTATATGTGGTTTTTATTTTTATTTTTTATTTTCTTGGAGATGGATTCTTACTCTGTTGCCTAGGCTGGAATGCAGTAGTGCAATCTTGGCTCACTGCAACTCCCGCCTCCCAGGTTCAAGCTATCCTCCTCCCTCAGCCTCCCGAGTAGCTGGGACCACAGGTGTGCACCACCATGCCTGGCTAATTTTTGTAGTTTTAGTGGAGACAGGTTTTTGCCATGTTGGCCAGGCTGGTCTCTAACTCCTGACCTCAGGTGATCCACACTCCTCGGCCTCCCAAAGTGTGGGATTACATGTGTGAGCCACTGCACCTGGCCACTTTATTTTAACTTAATTTAATTTTATTTTTTTTGAGATGGTGTCTCCACTGTCGCCCAGGCTGGAGTGCAGTGGCGCAATCTCGGCTCACTGCAACCTCTGCCTCCCAGTTCAAGAAATTCTCCTGCCTCAGCCTCCCGAGTAGCTGGGACTACAGGCACCTGCCACCACATCCAGCTAATTTTTTTGTATTTTTAGTAGAGATGGGGTTTCACCATGTTGGCCAGGCTGGTCTTGAACTCTGACCTCGTGATTTGCCCGCCTCGGCCTCCCAAAGTGCTGGGATTATAGGCGTGAGCCACCGCGCCCGGCCTATTTTTATTTTTTGAGACCGGATCTTGCTCTGTTACCTAGGCTGGAGTTCAGTGGCACGATCACAGCTCATTGCAGCCTTGACCTCTTGGGCTCAAGGGATCATCCTGCCTTGGCCTCCCAAAGTGCTGGAATTACAGGTATGAACCATCATGCCCAGCCACAAGCAAGTTTTTAAAGGCAAAAGAGGACAAGGAGTGGGCTGACACAAAATTGTTTAACAGGAATTCTCATTGGCTTACAGAAACAACATTGATTAGTGATTGGCTATACCTTGTTGAACTATAGGGTATGAGTTATGGTGTCTAGACTATGGCATTTTATGGCTATGTGGTATCAATTTAGAGCCCACATAGCAAGTGGCTTCAAGGGGTAATTATTTGGCTCCATGGGGGTGGGGGAAGGTGAGATATGACTGCTGTTACATGCTGTCACTTTTTTTTTTTTTTTTTTTTGAGACTGAGTCATACTCTGTCGCCCAGGCTGGAGTGCAGTGGCGCAATCTCGGCTCACTGCAACCTCCGCCTCCCGGGTTGAAGCGATTCTCCTGCCTCCGCCACCCAAGTAGCTGGAATTACAGGCACCTGCCACTATGCTCAGCTTTTTGTATTTTTAGTAGTGACAGGGTTTCACCATAATGGCCAGGCTGGTCTCAAACTCCTGACCTCAAGTGATCCCGCCCGCCTTGGTTTCCCAGTGTGCTGGGATTACAAGTGTGAGCCACTGCACCCGGCCTTTTTTTTTCTTTTTAAAATTATTATTATTATTATTATTATTATTTTGAGACGGAGTCTCTTGCACTGTCGCCGGGGCTGGAGTGCAGTGGCATGATCCTGGCTCACTGCAACCTCTGCCTCCCAGGTTCAAGCAATTCTCCTGCCTCAGCCTCCTGAGTAGCTGGGATTACAGGCGCCCGCCACCATGCCCAACTAATTTTTTGTATTTTTAGTAGAGACAGGGTTTCACCATGTTGGCCAGGCTGGTCTCGAACTCCTGACCTCGTGATTCGCCCACCTTGGCCTCCCAAATTGCTGGGATTACAGGCGTGAGCCACCGCGCCAGGCCCATGCTGTCACATTTTAATGCCTCTCTGGGCCTGATAATTAAAAGAGGCTGGCATTTCTCAGATAAAAAGTTTCTTTTCTTTCTCAAGAGTGATGGAATGGGCCAGGCACGGTGGCTCACACCTGTAATCCCAGCACTTTGGGAGGCCGAGGTAGGGGAATCACCTGAGGTTGCCAGTTCAAGATCCAGCCTGACCAACATGGAGAAACCCCATCTCTTCTAAAAATACAAAATTAGCCAGGCGTGGTGGCGCATACCTGTAATCCCAGCTACTCGGGAGGCTGAGGCAGGAGAATCGCTTGAACCTGGGAGGCGGAGGTTATGGTGAGCTGAGAGCACGCCATTGCACTCCAGTTTGGGCAATGAGAGCGAAACTCCATCTAAAAAAATTAAAAAAAGAGTGATGGAATGAAGGGTTAACACAGTGAAATATAATGGTGAGATTCAATGAGATGATGGGAAATGATCATTAGACTTCTCAGTAGGGGCATGTGGCAGAGACAATGCTATACATTCACAAATCCATTTCCTTTTGCTCTTGGACAGCTAGATTACATTCCACAGTCTACTCTGGATCATGTGATTGCATTCTGGCCAATGAAATATAGATAGAAATGATGTATGACATTTCTAGGGCTGGCTCCTAAAGTCTCCTCTGAAATTCTTTTTTTTTTTTTTCTCTTTCTCTTTTTAAGAGACAGGATTGTGCTATGTCACTCCCAGACTGGTATCAAACTCTTGGGCTCAAGTGATCTCCCACCCTGGCTTCCCAAGAGCTGGGGGACTACAGGCACATAGTACTATGCCCAGCTTGAAGTTCTTTACATTTTCTTTCTTCCCATGTCTATTACTGTAGTTATAGAGGATCTCTAGTGGAGTATTCTGAGACCCTAGGACATGGCATAGCTACTAGATGGATGGCACCTGGATCCCTAAATACTGCTTGGAACAGAGCTCCCTGTTACCCCCAGAATTGACTGTAGTGCTAAGCCATTGAGTTTTGGGAGTGTTTGTTACAGCAATTAAGATTACTTACCCTGACAAATATAGGGCAAAAGATGTGTTACAATATACCATGCAGCTAAGAGTAGAGACCAGAAAGATGGCCTCTGTTTTTAAGAAACTTGGCAGGCCGGGCACGGTGGCTCACGCCTGTAATCCCAATACTTTGGGAGGCAGAGGCAGGCGGATCACCTGAGGTCAGGAATTTGGGACCAGCCTGGCCAACGTGGTGAAACCCTGTCTCTACTACAAATACAAAAATTAGCTGGGTGTGGTGGTGCACGCCTGTAATCCCAGCTACAGGGGAGGCTGAGGCAGGAGAATCACTTGAATCAGGAGGCGGATGTTGCAGTGAGCCTAGATTGCACCACTGTACTCCAGCCTGGGCGACAGAGCGAGACTCCATCTAAAAAAAAAAAAAAAAAAAAAAAAAAAGAAACTTGGCAGAGAAATTAAGGATAAAGAAAGGATTATCTAGAGGAGAATACAGGATTGAGGGAACATGTTTTTGTATTGGTTCTGGCTTCTGTGGCATTCCCGACTCGACAATTCACTAAGAACCCTGGGCAGCAGGGATTAGCCCCCAAATTTGGTCTCTGCTCCCCATTCCAGGAACAGCTTTCTGGGATCATCTGGGCCTACACCTCCCCTATCTGGTCTTTCAGAAAGCTTTTCCAGGCCTTTCCAGGTGTGGTGACTTATGTCTGTAATCCCAGCACTTTGGGAAGGCCGAGATGGACAGATTACCTGAGGTCAGGCGTTCAAGACCAGCCTGGCCAACATGGTGAAACTCTGTCTCTAAAAAATACAAAAATTAGCTAGTCATGATGGTGGGTGCCTGTAATTCCAGCTACTCGGGAGGCTGAGGCAGGAGAATCACTTGAACCTGGGAGGCAGAGGTTGCGGTGAGCCGAGATCAAGCCACTGCACTCCAGCCTGGGCAACAGAGTGAAACTCCGTCTTAAAAAAAAAAAATTATATATATATATATATATATATATATATATATATATATATATATATATATATATATATAAATGGATAACCAGCAGCCCTCAGGGGTGCTCTGTCTATGGAGTGGCCATTTTTTTATTCCTTCACTTTCCTGATAAACTTGCTTTCACTTCACACTATGGACTCACCTTGAATTCTTTCTTGTGTGAGATCCAAGAATCCTCTCTTGGGGTCTGGATTGGGATCTCTTTACTGTAACAACACCTCTGGGATCTGGCAGGGAGGGAGCTGGTTAGGCCCATCTTAGTCATTCTCCTCTTCCTCCAAAAAATGACCTTGGGGAGTCATAGAGGAGAATTATGGAGATGTTCCTGAAGAGATGTTCCTGATGGGGGTCAGGATTTAATTAGCATGATTCAGGGGGCGGCACTGAAGCACTGGTGTTCTTGGGAAAATGGAGCTGTCTACAAGCTCTAGTCACTCAAACAAATATAAATGAGAGAATGGAAAAGCAGATCTCCTGTTCCTGTCTCACCTCTTTGGGTAATATGAACAGCCAGTGGGACAGGTAAAACCCCTGTTTCTCAGTCCTCAGCTCCCTGCCCCCTACCTCTGAAGGTAGCCTCTTCCTATTCCAGTCTGAGGACCCTAGGGCAGAGATCAAGTAAATGACCCATGACCTAGTTTTTGCAGCTCAATTGCAAAACACCTGGCTTGGCTTGGTCTTGATTGGGGGAAGGGATGTCCCTGCTATGGCTCAACTTCTAACTCACTGGGTCTCTGTCCTGCATTCCACTGAAGCCTCAGAGGCATCTCACAGCACTGGGAAAAGCCTTGGAAACTTGCATTCAAATCTCAGCTTGGCCACTAATTCTCTGGGTGACCTTGAGTCCTCTGGGCTCCAATGTGAAATGGGGAAGAGGTTTAGACAATATTTAGATGGCTCTTTAAAAGTACTGGGGGCCAGCTGTTTGGGAGGCTGAGGCAGGAGGATCACTTGAAGTCAGGAGTTCAAGACCAGCCTGGCCAACATGTGAAACCCCGTCTCTACTAAAAATACATAAATTAGCCCAGTGTGGTGGCACACAGCTCTAATTCCAGCTACTTGGAGGCTGAGGCAGGAGAATCGCTTGAACCTGGGAGGTGGAGGTTGCAGTGAGCCAAGATCACGCCACTGCACTCCAGCCTGGGTGGCAGAGTGAGACTCTCTCTCAAACAAACAAACAAACAAAAGTACCAGGGGAGGAATTAATTTGAATTTTATCCTAGTGTTAGCCAATTGGTCCCATCCAAGGAAAATTTAGAAAAGGGAAGGGGATGTGTAAAGGAAACACTAGGCCCCACCTAGATGGTGGCTGGAGCTTCTGATAGTCCTGTACTCTCCACATTTTTAGACTTTCTTGTACTTTTTTTTTTTTTTTTGTGACGGAGTCTGCTCTGTCGCCAGGCTAGAGTGCATGGGCACAATCTCGGCTCACTGCAACCTCTGCCTCCTGGGTTCAAGTGATTCTCCTGCCTCAGCCTCCCGAGTAGGTGGGACTACAGGTGCACGCCACCAAGACCAGCTAATTTTTTTTTTTTTTTTTTTTACTAGAGACGGGGTTTCACCATGTTGGCCAGGATGGTCTCAATTTCTTGACCTTGTGATCCGCCTGCCTTGGTCTCCCAAAGTGTTGGGATTACAGGCGTGAGCCACCGAGCCCGGCCATTTTTAGATTTTTTTTTATAGCCCTTTTACCCCTCCCACTTCTTGTGCTGTCTTGGTGTGTGTATGAAAAAGAGAGAGAGAGAGAGAGGAAGGAGAGCAAGAGTGAGAGAAAAAGAGAATATGGTTACTTAGCCCTTTTTCCCAAATCTGTTTTTGCTTTTGGGGATAGGATATGGTTATGGTGAAGTACTCCACACAGACCCCACCAAGTTTGCCTCTCCTGCGCTACAGCCACTGAGCAGGTGACTGAGGCGCTGTTGATCCAGGGTCATATCCTTACTCGCCCTAGAATGTAAGCTCAGGCAGGGCAGAGGCCATGCCTGACATGTGCATCCCAATGCTTTACACAGCCTAGGTGCCTAGCACATGCTAGATGCTTGGTAAATATTTGCTGAATGAAAGATCAAATGAATGATTGCAGCAAGCAAGTCCTGTAGGCATCCTGGAGCCCAAGGATTCTGCAGTAGGCAGCTTTCACAGAGGTTCTTCCAGTGTAGTGGCTCTAGCTCTGGGTGAAGTAGGATCATCAATGTCGGCCCCCAGGGTTCACAGCTGTTCTGAGCCCCGCCCCCAGGTGGCAGGGCAGCCCAGTCAGTCAGTCACGTGCTGGCGGCTGGCCAATCATCGGGGGCGGCGCGGGGAGGGGTGGTGTGGACGGAGAAAGTGAAAGGTGAGGCACGGCCCTGCAGATTTTCCAGCGGATCCCCCGGTGGCCTCATGTCGCGCAGTGGAACCGATCCTCAGCAACGCCAGCAGGCGTCAGAGGCGGACGCCGCAGCAGCAACCTTCCGGGCAAACGGTAACTGCACCGCGGCAGGGACTCGCTGGGGCGCGGAGCCGAGCCCTCCCCTTCCTTAGGAAGCTTTCGTCCCCTCCGAAGGTTGGAACGCTCATCCCGAGCCAGACCGACAAGGCGTACAGTCTGCAGGCCTGTACGAGCAGCAGGCCAATTGGCGCTGGGAAAGTCCAATCCTGGGCCTCTAGCTCCTGAGCGGGACAGGGCCGAGAGGGCGCTCCCGAGCTTGGGCCTGCTGGTGGGTGAGACCCAGGAGAGAGGGAGCTAGAGAGCTCTGAGGACTGATCTTGACTGTCTGCCCCCAGACCATCAGCATATCCGCTACAACCCGCTGCAGGATGAGTGGGTGCTGGTGTCAGCTCACCGCATGAAGCGGCCCTGGCAGGGTCAAGTGGAGCCCCAGCTTCTGAAGACAGTGCCCCGCCATGACCCTCTCAACCCTCTGTGTCCTGGGGCCATCCGAGCCAACGGAGAGGTAAGCCTGTAGAGCCCTGCATCTGCAGGCTGGGCCACGGGGAGTAGTTCCCTCTTAGAACTGTCCTCCACCCACAGGGATAGTGAACCTCCTTCTGGGTCATATCCCACCAAGCTTTTTGGTCCCCTAGGGTGGGCCTTCCCTACTCCCTTGTAGCCTGTCCAGTCTTTGAAGCCCACCAGGTAACTGGTGGTATGGGGCAGTGAGTGCTTCTAGCCTATCCTTGTCGGTAGGTGAATCCCCAGTACGATAGCACCTTCCTGTTTGACAACGACTTCCCAGCTCTGCAGCCTGATGCCCCCAGTCCAGGTAACCTGGCTCCAACTGCTGCTGGGGAGGAGGGTGGCTAGACCTCTTGAGGGACTTCTGCTGCAGAGAGTGATACTCCTTTACCTCAGGACCCAGTGATCATCCCCTTTTCCAAGCAAAGTCTGCTCGAGGAGTCTGGTAACTATGGATTTCCCCTCTTACAACTTTCAAACCAGAGTTGGAGACTCAGCATTGGGGTTCGGCCCTGCCCGTAGCACAGCCAAGCCCTACCTCTCGGTTATCTTTTCTCCCGTCACCACCCAGTAAGGTCATGTGCTTCCACCCCTGGTCGGATGTAACGCTGCCACTCATGTCGGTCCCTGAGATCCGGGCTGTTGTTGATGCATGGGCCTCAGTCACAGAGGAGCTGGGTGCCCAGTACCCTTGGGTGCAGGTTTGTGAGGTCGCCCCTTCCCCTGGATGGGCAGGGAGGGGGTGATGAAGCTTTGGTTCTGGGGAGTAACATTTCTGTTTCCACAGGGTGTGGTCAGGAGGGAGTTGACTTGGTGTCTTTTGGCTAACAGAGCTCCGTATCCCTATCTGATAGATCTTTGAAAACAAAGGTGCCATGATGGGCTGTTCTAACCCCCACCCCCACTGCCAGGTAAGGGTGTCAGGGGCTCCAGTGGGTTTCTTGGCTGAGTCTGAGCCAGCACTGTGGACATGGGAACAGGATTAATGGATGGGACAGAGGAAATATGCCAATGATGTGGAGGCTTGGAGGTAAAGGACCTGCCTGTTCTTCTCTGCTTTTGCCCCTTGACAGGTATGGGCCAGCAGTTTCCTGCCAGATATTGCCCAGCGTGAGGAGCGATCTCAGCAGGCCTATAAGAGTCAGCATGGAGAGCCCCTGCTAATGGAGTACAGCCGCCAGGAGCTACTCAGGAAGGTGGGAGAGAGCCAAGCCCTGTGTCCCCAAGGAGTCCCTAACTTTCTTATCCCATGAGAGAGGTGTGTAAAGGAGAAAGCTAGAGGTGAACTAGTAGAGAGAGACTTGCTAGGAGGCCTTAGCAATAATCCAGTAATCTAAAGGAAAGATGATGGTGACTTAGACTCGGGTGGTTAGTGGTAGAGGTGGTGAGAAGACATCAGATCCTGGGCACATTCTTTTCTTCTGCTTCCCTTGCCTATTTGCTGACCACACTCCGGCTCCTATGTCACCTTGATGACTTCCTATCCATTCTGTCTTCCTAGGAACGTCTGGTCCTAACCAGTGAGCACTGGTTAGTACTGGTCCCCTTCTGGGCAACATGGCCCTACCAGACACTGCTGCTGCCCCGTCGGCATGTGCGGCGGCTACCTGAGCTGACCCCTGCTGAGCGTGATGGTCAGTCTCCCAAGTAGGATCCTGGGGCTAGGCACTGGATGGAGGTTGCTCCCAGTAGGGTCAGCATCTGGACCCCAGGCTGAGAGTCAGGCTCTGATTCCAGATCTAGCCTCCATCATGAAGAAGCTCTTGACCAAGTATGACAACCTCTTTGAGACGTCCTTTCCCTACTCCATGGGCTGGCATGGTGAGGCTTTTCAAGTACCTATATTTAGCCCCAACACCATTTCTGGGCTCCTGGGGCTCAGCCTAGTGAACTGCAACCTCAAAGGAGCAAGCCTTGAAACAGTTGCTGGGGGAAGTGGCCAGAGTAGAGATGCTGGGACTGAGGGTGGAGCAGCAAACTTGGTGAAACTACATCTCCAATGTGCTTTCTAATCTCCTGCCAGCTCTTCTCAAGCAGGGGATCCTGGGAGATGTAGTTTTCAGATACCTGGTTGGGTTTGGGAGTAGGTGCTAACCTGGATAACTGTAAAAGGGCTCTCTCTCCCCACTGTCTCTCTTCTTTCTGTCAGGGGCTCCCACAGGATCAGAGGCTGGGGCCAACTGGAACCATTGGCAGCTGCACGCTCATTACTACCCTCCGCTCCTGCGCTCTGCCACTGTCCGGAAATTCATGGTTGGCTACGAAATGCTTGCTCAGGCTCAGAGGGACCTCACCCCTGAGCAGGTCAGGACTCAGAACAGTCTGGCGTCTCCAGACTCTCACATGCAGTATGTGCAGGCACCTGATACTTCTGTTGCCCTTGTGCTCCAGTCATTGCACAAGGCAGAAAACAGCTCTGGCAGGAAGGGACTGCCAAAGTTAGGAGCCCTAGGGCCTGGAAGGAGAGTATGGTCCTCAGATCCCCCTTCTCTCCTGCTTCCTCCAGGGAACCCAACAGTCATGACCCTGATAGTTTCCCATAACAACCTGGGCATTCCTTGGGACTCAGGAGCTGCTAAACTCTTTCATCCCCTGGTGGCTTCAGCAGTCCTTATCACCAGCCTCACAATCCCACAGGCCCACCCCCAGTGGGCCTGTGGCATTCATATTTCATATTCATATTTCAAACCACAATATCCAGCAAAATGTCTCCTGAGCACCCAGAACTCCATACCATCGGCCGGGTGTGGTGGCTCATGCCTTAATCCCAGCACTTTGGGAGGTCAAGATGGGAGGATTGCTTGAGCCCAGAAGTTCGAGACTAGCCTGGGAAACATAGGAAGCCCTCGTCTCTACAAAAAAAATTTAAAAAGTTAGCCAGGTATGGTGGCATATACTTGTGGTCCCAGATACTTGGGAGGCTGAGATAGGATCACTTGGGCCCAGGAGTTTGAGGCTGCAGTGAGCCATCATCATGGCATCATTGCATTCCAGCCTGGGCAACAGAGCAAGACCTCGTCTCAAAAAAAAAAAAAAAATGAAGTCCATGCCACCATTCTTGGCAGCCCAGCCCTTATCCTCCTTAATTGCTCCCTGTCCCTTTTCCAGGCTGCAGAGAGACTAAGGGCACTTCCTGAGGTTCATTACCACCTGGGGCAGAAGGACAGGGAGACAGCAACCATCGCCTGACCACGCCGACCACAGGGCCTTGAATCCTTTTTTGTTTTCAACAGTCTTGCTGAATTAAGCAGAAAGGGCCTTGAATCCTGGCCTGGAATTTGGGCAGATATAGCATTAATAAAACTGTGCATCTCAAACTTTTATCACATACTCTAATATCAGAGGAGTGTGAACCTTCAGAGATCTAGGGTTAAAAGCTAAAGGCATAGCTCCAGCTACAACTTTTCTTTGTCTACAGATGTGTAAAATCTTGATGCAAAAATCTACCCCAAATTTCTGAACAAAATTAATATTCAGTATTATATCTAGCCTATAGATTCTCTTACTCTTGGTGTAATGACAGCATTCCCAGTTTAGGAAACTGTTTTAAAATCTTGTGTCTTGGTTGTGGCTGAGGCTTTGGGAAGGCCAGAGCCCCCTTTGCCACCACCCCTAGGGTGTCAGCTCCAAGCCTGGGCCTGAGGGTTTGATGGGGAGCGGGTGAGCTGGATCCTGATCCCAGTGGTCAGTGGCCAGATCCTGGGCTGCTGGCCAGAACCCTGGCTTTGTGAGTGGCTGCAGCTTGGCTCTGCTCCAGCCCACAGGGGCTAAAGGGGCGGGTAGGGAGTGTGTAGGGAGCGTGTACGTGGCTTTGTGTCCTTGGCTCCTCCAGACTCTCACATGTGCGGGCACCATATACTTCTGCTGCCCTTGTGCCCCAATCATTGCACAAACAGAAACAGCTCTGACAGAGAAGGGACTGCTAGAGTTAGGAACCCTAGGGCCTGGAAGGAAGGTATGGCTCTCAGAGTGACCTGGGGTCTATTCAGTCCCCTCTGGACCTGTTTCCCTGGCAACGCTGTGGGAACAACAGTCTATGCAACACAGGAGACCTGATGCCACTGGTGTCCTCCAAATTTTAAGGCGAAGGCAGGCATTGTGAATGATGCAGGGATGGCCAGAATGGTTTTTGCCTTCGTTCTTTCCCCAGGGGAACCAAGCCTGTGGGTGGGGAAATCACACTAAGGCTGGACAGTGACTGAATCTGGCCCAGGAGAAACTTGGCTGCCTGCCTTCCAGACCAGGGTTTTTCTTCCCTGAGATCCTGGAGGGGAAGTACCTGGAACTTGGGAGTGTTGCCCTGGTCTGGAAGATCTGATAGACATAGTATGCACACATTTCCCTCGAGCTTCCCATGACTGGGGAGTAGATGAGAACCCTGAGTGGGTGGCTGGTTTCTTGAGGCATACATATACCCGACACACCTTACACCTCTGATTTGGCTGCATTTTGGAATCATCTGGGAAGTTTTAAACAATACTGGTGCCTAGGTCCAACCTCCAGAGACTCTGATTTAATTGGTATGGGGTGGGGTTTTGCAGTTTTCAAACCACAATATCCAGCAAAGTTTGAGAACCACTGCCCTACACAGCCCTCCTTCTTCTTTATCTTATCTGGAGTCAGGGGCACCTTCAGCTTCTCCAATCACCTGGCCAGTGGCTCTTGTTTCCAGTCCTGCTGTTCCAGGGTGGATAGGCCTTCAGGCGGAGACCCAGGAATCCAGCTCCAGACTCTGTCCCAAGCAGCCTCTTCAGTCCGGGACGGGACAGGAAGTGTCCGGCGGAGGTGGGGGTGGAGGTGATTGGCAGTTGGAGTCTCCAATGGGCCAGGAGCCCCCCTATTTCACTCCTCTCCTTCCATTGGCGCCTGGGCGGAGCCACCCCCGCTGCGGGGGCCCAGGGCGGGAGGGAGTAGAGGCCGGGGCAGAGGGCGAGGGCGAGGGCAGAGGGCGCTGGCGGCAGCGGCCGCGGAAGGTGAGGCCTGGTGTAGACGCCAAAGTCTTGTCAGGAGTGGGCGGGGCAGGGTGATGTATGATCTGAAAGGCCGGGAGTGACTAACGACTGTCAGTGTGTATGTGCCTGTGAGGCTGTGTCTGTGTGACAGTATCATTGTGTGCGATTCTGAGTGTCACTTGGTGCAGCTGTCAGCTAATGTGACTGCGTGTGTCAGTGTGCATGGAGCTGGAGGTGCATGTGGCTGTGCAAGTGTGGGATTATGTGTGTATCTGTCAATGCACATTTTTGGTGGGACTGGGTTGTGTGTTTGTGTGAGAGGGACTGTGACCACATGAGGGAATGTGTTTTGGGAAGGTCTCTGTGGGGTTTGAGACCATGTCTGCCAGCGTGAGAGTGGGTGGCTGGCTTTGTGTGTGCCAATGTGTGACTTCAGCAGTAGCAGAGCAAAAGTGAGGTTTGTGACTATGTGTGTGTCCTGGGTCCTAACTTAAACCGTGTGGGAGTACAGCTGTATTCATGTATTGGGGGACCTACCTCAAGAGCCCATGGGACTGACCTTTCTCTTAAGTGTCCAGCATTGACAGACACACCCACAACACACGTGGCTTCCCCTCCTTCCTCTGCTCAAGAATCCCCAGCATCAGGTCTACTGCTCCTTATTTTCTGTTTCCCTGCTTGGCTCAGTTTCCCTTACGTGCCGTTTTCTGTCCCTATTGCTGTCTTACTAGAGATACCTCTGTGTGTTTCTTCACAGCTTTGTTCCCCTGGTCTCTCTGTGTGGGTGCATTTCCAGTTTTGCCTTTCCTTTCTCTCTGTCTCTCTCTGTGCCCCTATGCCTGCCTTCCCTGCTGATCTTGATCTCTGGCTAGTTGGGGGCCTGTAACAGTGATGAGATGCGGGTCTGCCCCGGCTAAGAGCTCCCTGAGAGAGGGGGCTTAGACCATGATGAAGAGTTGCTTTTAGGCGGTGCTGTGAGCCCTGGTAGGGGCTGTGTGCGTGTGTGACTGCGTGAGTGTATGAATATGTGTAAGTGTGTCTGAGTCTGAGGCGGTGTGGCTGTGCCCGTGTGACTGTGAGTGACCGCATGTGAGAGTGTATGAGTCTGAGGGTAACTGTGGGTCTTGTGTATCTGGCACCAAGGGACCAAAGGCATTTCCTGGTGCTGGGGCCCAAAGAATGGAGGGGGAGGTGAGAAATGGCTGGAACTTCCAGGGGAGGGGGAACTGGACTCTTTGGCCTCTCCTTATATCCCCCAACCTGGGGCCTCCCTTCCCCTGGAAGCACAGCCAGCTGTACCCTAAGGAAACATTTGGTGAGGAGTGAAAAGAGGGGGAGTTTGTATCTGATTTTTCATTTGATTGTGTCCACGTGTGTTCAAAGGCATGCCCTTTTGTTAACTGTGCCTCTTGAGTCTGTGTGTGAATGTGACTGTGTCTGGCTGTGTGAAAACACAGGGCATCTCTCACTGACAGGGACATAAGTATTAGCCACCCTCCTTTCCCTCTTGCTGGCCTTGGCTGTGTCTGTGGCTTCCTTTCCAGACTTGGGGGAGGCCTCTTCCCTTCCCAGGGCCTTGGGTGGGAGGGAAGGAGGGAGGAGGCAGGAGCAGGGAGGGGGCCTGGCTAGGGGCGGCAGAGCTCCAGGGCTTAGAGGGGGCGGGGCAGGGAAGGGGAAGGAGGGGATGGCTCTGGGGTCCCAGAACTGAGTGGAGTAGGAGACGGGGGCTGTAGCTGGTGAGAGGAAGTCCTAGAGGCTATGGACACTCTGCTGCTGGGATCACCGAGGTAGGGTGGGGCTAAGCAGGGTAAGTGTGGCTGGGTGGCCAGGGGTGAGCCAACTGGACACACTCAGACAGACACACAGACAGGTGGAGGCCCTGCTCTGCTCTACTCCTACTCCTGAAGGGTCCGTGCTCTTCCTCTTCTGGTCTTGTTCCCAGAGCCCTTTCCCCGCCTGCCCCTTCGTTCTCCATCCACTTCACCACTGCCTTCCTCCTTCTGCTCCCCCTTGTCCAGAATCTCTCTCTCCTAGCATCCCCCACCTGCCATATAGACACACTGTTAGCTTTTTGAGTTTCCGCTGACCCCAATCCAGTCTTTCCAACACTTCCCACACTGCCCCATCACCTCCTAGTCCTGATCTCTGAGTATCTCTTGGTGCTGTGGCCCCCATGCCTGTCCCTGCAGGCTCCCAGTTCCTCTCAGCCTCTCATCCCCTTCCCTCCCCTCCCCTCCCCGCCACCCTGTCTCCATTTCCATCTGCTGGCTCCTCGCCCACCCCCAGCCTCTGGCAGCAGCCAGGGCATCTGGATCTGCTTAACTACACAGCCCCAGCCTGCACCCTAGCCCCATCCAGCTTCACAAACTGGAGACCAACGAAGTGTCAAGAGCCAGGCCCAGCTGAGTGGCCCAAGTAGCCAGACCAAGGAGCCAGGTTCAGGCGAGAAGCCTGGCAGCCAGGGCAGGGGTGGGCCTCAGGGTGGGAGTGCAGGATGGGCTCAGATCCATGATGACACCCTTCCCCCAGGGTGATAAGGTCTGCCTAGGTTAATCAGAGGCAGTGATAAGCCCTGGACCAGGTGGGGGTAAATACCAGAATTCCCAACAGCTGGACTGGAGGGGTTAATGGGAGTGGCTGAGCTGGTGCCAGTGCTTGGTGCCAGGGGTGGGCGCCAAGGGCAGTGGAGGGGGAGTTGCTGGCACAGTCTGTTGCCTCCGGCTTTTGTTCTGGGCCCTAAGCCCAGGACTGAGATGGAGGGTGTGAGGGGGTGTGTGTGTCCGTGTGTGTGTGTGTGTGTGTGTGCGCGCGCACGCACATGCAAAGCACTGGGTATACAGTGGGAAAGGGGACCTCAGGTCAGTTCCCGCAGTGATTTCTAACAGCCTTACCCCACTTGGTGCATCAATTTTTCTCCTAGGAAGCCTCAGTTTTGGAGAGGAAGAGCCAGGCTTTAGCCTCCCATCTCAGGGGTCGGGGATTTTTGACTCTACCTCTCCCCACAGATGAGCAGCAGCTGCTCAGGGCTGAGCAGGGTCCTGGTGGCCGTGGCTACAGCCCTGGTGTCTGCCTCCTCCCCCTGCCCCCAGGCCTGGGGCCCCCCAGGTGAGAAGAACCCTGCTCTACAACCTCCCAACTCTGACTTGTGACTTGCCACCCTCACTGTGGCCCCTTCCCATGCCTAACTTGTGACACCACCCCTGCTCCTGTCATCCAACCTGGGTCCTCTCTCTACCCTGTTCTCTGACCTCTGTCTCCAGATTATAACATGATGCTTTGATCCAGTGAGCCCCCCACCACCCAGGTTTTAACAGTCTGCTTCTTATCTGTCATTCTCACAAAGTGGGGAGGGGGGTAAAGGAAGAGCCTTACCTCAGAAGTGCCCTCCACAGGGGTCCAGTATGGGCAGCCAGGCAGGTCCGTGAAGCTGTGTTGTCCTGGAGTGACTGCCGGGTAAGTGCCCCACCTGCCTGTTGGTCTGACACTCATGACCCTTTCTTGACTCTGCCTAGTCCTCATGTCCCGCCCCTCCCATCCTTGCCCGCTCTGTCCGTAATCCTCACCTCTCTATCTGTCCTAACCGTCTAACTATCCTTATTCAACAGAAAATTCAACTGGTATGTTTTGAGCATCTGCCAAGTGCCAGGTCTATTCTAGGCTCTGGGATACAGCAGTGCTAATGCCAGGCAAGGTGCCTGCCTTCAAAGAGCTTACATCTTAGTGGGGAAGACAATAAGCAAAGGAGAATCTTGCCAGATAGTAATACCTGCAGGGCAGAAAAACCAAAGTGAGGGATGTCGAAGAGGACAACTGAGTGGTTACTTTTTTTTTTTTTTTTTCCGAGAGTCTCACTCTGTTGCCCAGGCTGGAGTGCAGTGGTGCAATCTGGGCTCACTGCAACCTCTGCCTCCTGGGTTCAAGCAATTCTCCTGCCTCAGCCTCCCAAGTAGCTGGGATTACAGGTATGCGCCACCAGGCCCGGCTAATTTTTTTTTGTATTTTTAGTAGAGACGGGGTTTTACCATGTTGGTCAGGCTTTGAACTCCTGACTTCAAGTAATCCACCCACCTCAGCCTCCCAAAGTGCTAGATTACAGGCGTGAGCCACCGTGCCTGGCCCGTGGTTACCTTTTAATTGGTAGTTAGGAAAGGTCTCTCTGAGGAGATGGTGTTGAAGCTGATTTCTGAAGGTCAGGAAGGAGGCAGCCATGCACACATTAAGGTATAAGCGCTCGTGACAGAGGGAGCAGCTAGTGCAAAATGTCCTGAGGTGGGAATGAGCTCAATACCCCCGAGGAATAGAAAGAAGACCAATGTAGCTGGAGTTTTCAGTGGGTGAGGGGGAGAGAGATAGGAGCTGAAGAAGGAAAGGAAGGCAAGGGCTGGCTCACAAGGGGCTTTGAAAGCCAGTAAAAGGAATTTGGGTTCTATTGCAAATGCAGTTAGAAGCCAATGGAGAGCTGTGGCATGGTCTGACTTATGCTTGACATCTTGTCTTTGTCCATTGTCACCTCATCTCACTTCCAGGGACCCAGTGTCCTGGTTTCGGGATGGGGAGCCAAAGCTGCTCCAGGGACCTGACTCTGGGCTAGGGCATGAACTGGTCCTGGCCCAGGCAGACAGCACTGATGAGGGCACCTACATCTGCCAGACCCTGGATGGTGCACTTGGGGGCACAGTGACCCTGCAGCTGGGCTGTGAGTTGGGGAGGGTGGCACTGATGACACATAGGGATCCTGAGGGAGTATGGGACCTAAGTAAGCCCTCTGGGACCAGGAGGACCTGAGGACTGCTCAGTCTCCAGGTGTACCCTCTGCCTCTAGACCCTCCAGCCCGCCCTGTTGTCTCCTGCCAAGCAGCCGACTATGAGAACTTCTCTTGCACTTGGAGTCCCAGCCAGATCAGCGGTTTACCCACCCGCTACCTCACCTCCTACAGGTGTGTGTGTGATTGGGTGTGGATGCCTACACATTTGGGTATGCTGGTGCAATGTGGGTGTGGGAGGCAGGGAGGTAGGTTCTGAGGAAAGCCTCAGAGAGGGCAGAAGGCCCTCTTTTCCTTCCTGACTTCAGATGGCCCCCTCCCCACCAGGAAGAAGACAGTCCTAGGAGCTGATAGCCAGAGGTAGGACGTGAGGGAGCATGTGGGGGCTCCAGCTGGGTCCCACAGTAGGCATTTTCAAAGCCAAAGACCACATCCTCCCTTCTAGGAGGAGTCCATCCACAGGGCCCTGGCCATGCCCACAGGATCCCCTAGGGGCTGCCCGCTGTGTTGTCCACGGGGCTGAGTTCTGGAGCCAGTACCGGATTAATGTGACTGAGGTGAACCCACTGGGTGCCAGCACACGCCTGCTGGATGTGAGCTTGCAGAGCATCTGTGAGTACCCACCCCAGACCTCCCCCAGACCCCCATCACAGAGACCCCAAATGGACTCAGATCTCTCCACTCCCAGAGTTCCCAGTTTCCTCCCAACCTAGACTCCATTTCACACAGAGAAGGCCCTGTGGAGCCTGAGAAGGCAAAGGGATCAGAGCCCAGGAGGCATGGTTATTTCAGCACACACTCTAGAGGCTGCTGCTGCTACCCACACTGCCTGATTGGCTGCCTAGCCTCAGAGCAGGCCCTGTACCGAATGCAGCCATATGTCATGTCCTCCCTTGCTGGCCCCTCCTTCCTTGACCTGTGCATGGGAGTGGGACACTAAAACTCTAGCTGGAATTTGGGCCAATTCATCTTCCTTGGATGAAAATAGGAATTGCTCTTTTATTCACTCAAGAAGCACTTCAAAAGTCCACCCGCAGATCTCAGGTGGTTTCTTTTTTTCTTTCTCTTCCTTTTTTTGTTGAGATAGGGTCTCACTTTGTGCCCAGGCTGGATGAAGTTCAGTGGTGTGATCTTGGCTCACTGAAGCCTGCAACTCCTGGGCTCAAGCTATCCCCTCACCTCAGCCTCCCAAGTAGCTGGGATTACAGGCATGTGCCACCATGTCTGGTTAATTTTTAAAATTTTTTGTAGAGACAGGGTTTTGCTACGTTGCCCACGCTGGTCTCAAACTCGTGGCATCAAGTGATCCTCCCGCCTCAGTCTTCCAGAGTGCTGAGATTACAGGCATGAGCCACCACACGCGGCCTCAGCCCATTTCATAATACAGATGACCGGTCTGAGTCTAATGGATGATCAAGTTTAAGATTTCCCCTCCCCTCTCAGGAGTGTCTGGCTAAGGCTCCTTTAAACACACACTTTGGGAAGTGGTGGGGAAGTGATGGAGACCCATAGCCTACCCTGACTTTGTGTCTTGATGCCCTTAGTGCGCCCTGACCCACCCCAGGGCCTGCGGGTAGAGTCAGTACCAGGTTACCCCCGACGCCTGCGAGCCAGCTGGACATACCCTGCCTCCTGGCCGTGCCAGCCCCACTTCCTGCTCAAGTTCCGTTTGCAGTACCGTCCGGCGCAGCATCCAGCCTGGTCCACGGTGAGGCCTGGAGTGCGTCCCAACCCACGGCTGTGGGTCCTGTCTCTGATTTCACGATCCTGGGTGTTCTGTATAGCTTTCCAGTGCTGGCAGGTCACTGAAGACCCAACACTTCCCTGTGGGCCAGGCTTTGTACTGGGTGCTGGGTTGCAGTGGTGACTGAGAGACTGAATGTCTGTCCTGTGGGGCTATAACTATGAGGTAAAGCACATCTGTGGGAAGATAGCAATGGCTTTTAAAAAAATAACTTTTTTTTTTTGAGAGGGAGTCTCGCTCTGTCACCTAGGCTGGAGTGCAGTGGTGCAATCTCGGCTAACTGCAACCTCCACCTCCTGGGTTCAAGCAATTCTTCTGTCTCAGCCTCCCGAGTAGCTGGGACTACAGGTGCCCGCCGCCATGCCTGGCTAATTTTTGTATTTTTAGTAGAGATGGGGTTTCACCATATTGCCCAGGCTGGTCTCGAACTCATGACCTCACGATCTGCCCACCTCGGCCTCCCAAAGTGCTGGGATTACAGGTGTGAGCCACGGCGCCCGGCCTAAAAATAACTCTTAGGAAAAGGAGTGCCTTTCACCTAGAGGCACATTCTCCTACAAACACTCATATACCCAGCTGAGGATAGCAGTGAATTTGTGTCTCAGGAGATGTTAAAGATTGGCTGGTATCAGGACTAGGGAGCAGCAGCATCAGATAATAACTAATATTTACTTAGTGCTGCCTGCCTGTGGGGTACCTGGCTACACTTTTTGCATACATTGTTTTGTTTAGGTAGATTCACCTCTATTTTACAAATGAAGAAACTGAGTCACAGAGAGGCCCAAAGGGTCATTCAATATGTGGTTCACCAAAGATTTGAACCCAGGCTGCCTGATGCCACAGCCTCTCTAAGTAATCACTACTGCCGTCTTACAAACACTAGGTGTAGACTCAGCTCCACCAGACACCCAACATGAGACCTAGACAGCTCCACTAGGCTTTAGGATGAGACTGGGAGCAAGGGGTGCTCTTTGTAGATGGTGGCTGGGAAGGCCCTGCACTTACAAGCTGGGTAACAGTGAGTCATGTTTACCCCCAGGTGGAGCCAGCTGGACTGGAGGAGGTGATCACAGATGCTGTGGCTGGGCTGCCCCATGCTGTACGAGTCAGTGCCCGGGACTTTCTAGATGCTGGCACCTGGAGCACCTGGAGCCCGGAGGCCTGGGGAACTCCGAGCACTGGTGAGAGACAAAGCCAAAGAAAAGGGCAGAGGCCCCATCCCAAAGCATCTATCAGCTGAACCAGTTCCAAAAGACAGGCAGGTGGCACATGCCCTGCCCACACAGGCACGGCAATTGCTGTCCCAGACTTCAGACTTGTTTGCCTACAGCCCTGTCTTAGCTTAAGTCCTGCCCCTTGGCCTCCACCCCTGCAGTTACAGGCTCCACTTCTACAAGCTTGGAGCTTGCCATGCTCCCTAGGAGCTGGCCATGCCCTATCAGGCTCCTCCTCCTAGGTACCTTGACTTCCAACCTAGGCCTTGGCCTTGAGCACAGGACGTGACCCCCGTCCCCACCAGCGTATGGACACTTATTGGGTCTTGCCTTCCTTTAGGGACCATACCAAAGGAGATACCAGCATGGGGCCAGCTACACACGCAGCCAGAGGTGGAGCCTCAGGTGGACAGCCCTGCTCCTCCAAGGCCCTCCCTCCAACCACACCCTCGGCTACTTGGTGAGCTTGGGCAGATGGGCAAGACTTGTAAAGGACTGAAAACCCCAGAGAAAAGGGGACACCGAGCTTGGTCAGGCTTGCTCTCAGTGACATGTGGCCCTCCCCCTCAGATCACAGGGACTCTGTGGAGCAGGTAGCTGTGCTGGCGTCTTTGGGAATCCTTTCTTTCCTGGGACTGGTGGCTGGGGCCCTGGCACTGGGGCTCTGGTAAGTGACTGCCATTGGTCCCTCAGCCTCTGATCCTCACACATGCTCTGATGCCCATAGACCACATTCATCTCCACCCTTCATGACTGCCCGCTGAACCTGTCTGATTCTGGAACTACCTCCCCATACCTCCATCCCCCATGCCCCACTTGATTTTAACTGATTCCTCTCCTGACCCTTTACTAATAAACCCTTTGGCGGAGACTGAGATAACCCACATTGTTGGAGAGACAGCTGCCTTTCTATGCCCCAGGCTGAGGCTGAGACGGGGTGGGAAGGATGGATCCCCAAAGCCTGGGTTCTTGGCCTCAGTGATTCCAGTGGACAGGCGTCCAGGTGAGTAGGACATCCAGAAGATTTGGACTTGGAGATGTTTGCCCCTATTTTGAGTGTCCAGATTAAGAGCTGGCTGCCCTAGTCATTTTAAAACATGCTGGGAATCCAAGTTGGGTCTCCTCATTTTAATGATGTCTAGGCTGAGGGCTGGGCCTTTCATTCTTGAGTCCCTGGGCTCAGAAGTGGGTCTCTTTCCCTCCTCTCAGGGTACTGAGGAAGGACCCCAGGTGGACTTCCCTTCAGGGTATTAGTATTAGTACTAATACTCTTCCAGGGTATTAGACTCAGAGCTGGATATTCATCCTTTTTTTTCAAGGTGTCTTGGATCAGTGCTAGGTCCCCTCCTTCATTCTTAATGTGCCTGGGCCCAGAGCTAGGTCCACTCCCGTATCTTCAGTGTGTTGAAGAGGCTCCCTCAGAGCTGGGCTCCTCTACTCATCTTCAGAGTGTTAAGCTTAGAACTGAGTCACCTCCCTCATTCTCAGGGTGTCTGGGCCAAGATCCGGTCTTACTGTCTCTCCTGATTTGCCTCCTGCTTCTTCTAGGAGCTCCAAACCTGTAGAGGACCCAGGAGGGCTTCGGCAGATTCCACCTATAATTCTGTCTTGCTGGTGTGGATAGAAACCAGGCAGGACAGTAGATCCCTATGGTTGGATCTCAGCTGGAAGTTCTGTTTGGAGCCCATTTCTGTGAGACCCTGTATTTCAAATTTGCAGCTGAAAGGTGCTTGTACCTCTGATTTCACCCCAGAGTTGGAGTTCTGCTCAAGGAACGTGTGTAATGTGTACATCTGTGTCCATGTGTGACCATGTGTCTGTGAGGCAGGGAACATGTATTCTCTGCATGCATGTATGTAGGTGCCTGGGGAGTGTGTGTGGGTCCTTGGCTCTTGGCCTTTCCCCTTGCAGGGGTTGTGCAGGTGTGAATAAAGAGAATAAGGAAGTTCTTGGAGATTATACTCAGAAATTATTATCCAATGCTGCTTTATTATTTGGCTATTGGGGGCTTCAGCCCATTTTCCTTAGCATCCCAAAATTCAGCTTGGGCAGAGTCCCATGGAGCTTTCTCTCTTGGTGCTCAAACCACTGTGACAGGCTGGGGTTCTGGGGGTGGATGCAGATGCTGCGTTGAGCCAGGTGAAGCCTGGGTAGAGAAAGGTCCAAAGCTATGACCATAGCTTGGGGATGAGATTAGGGTCATCCCCAATGACCCTAATTAGGGGTTAGGAGCAAGGACCAGATGAAAACCTGAGTTGGCAACAGAATTAGCAGTTAGGGCTGGGGTTGGGATCAGCATTAGGGGTTGGGACTGAGGTCAGAGTCAGGGGTATCAGGGGTGGGAGCTCACACGAAAGCCTGGAGGTGACAGTCCCCGTCAGCCTCCTGCAGTTCCACCTGGATGACCTTCCTCAGTAGCTTGTCTGAGAGTGGCTTTCGGTAGAGCTGAGTACAGCAGGCAGTGCTGGGTGGCAGTAGGAATGCTAGGGGCAACAGGGCCATGTGTTCAGAGGGATCCTGACCAAGAACCTCTCTGCCAGACAGCTGGAGGTTAGGTTGGATTTCCTGGGTCTTTTCAACTTCATCCCATTCACCCAGACCCCCAGCTTTCTATACCCCCAAGTACTCACCTGCTGTAGGGTCTGGGCTCAGGAGCAATGACAGCAGCAGGAGGCTGCAGAAGGTTGGGGGCCCCTTCATGTTGCTCAGCCTAGACTCTTCCTTCTCTCTCTCTCCTCCTCCCCTACCTTTTATCTGGGTGCCTTTTACCTGGGGCACTAGGTGAGTCAGAGGCAGTTGGAGATGTACTGTGTAACCTGTGACACTCCTGGGCCCTAATTCTCGGCCTGTTGCCACAGACTCCTTCCTCATCTAGGATAGCCATTTCCCATGTGCTCCTAAGCTCTGGGCAGTGAAGCTGGGGGAAGGATTAGTGTGTGATGTAGGGACTGATGGAACAGTGAGTAAGGGCAGTCAAGCATCCACAGCAGCATCTAATGATAGACATTCACACTCAAATACGCATAGCCACACATTCAAAGTCACTCCTCAATCACTTGGTCAACCTCACAAAGTCATACTCATGATCAGACAACCGTAGACAAAATTATATAGCCCCGGTTATACTCAAAGTCCCTCTCCCACCCAATTGTGTTTTCACAGTCATCCAATCACAAGCAAATTCACACTAGCACACACAGATTCTGACAGGGGAGTTGTGGGTGGGGTGGGAGCAGAGGGCAGGCAAGCACCAACTTGCCTTCACCTTCTCCTCCCCACTTCCTGGCTTGGCCTGCCTGTCTTATCAGAAGAAATGGATGGGAATGGGTCCCTAGAGCAGGCCCTTCTGGCTGAGGAGGGTTCTTGGCTGAGGCCAGCCCCATTCAGAGAAGCTGGGGGAAGGCCCTTTATGGTAATATTAAGGGTGTTTTGGAGATGCTGAGGTGGGGCAGCTTTCCCCAGGATGATGAGACAGGGAGGAAAGGTGGGGTAGATAAGGAGGGAAGATAAAAGCTCTTTGGTGCTAGGTTACTGTTGTCAAAACAGGTAAAAGGCCCAGTGAATCTTACCTTCCTGTTTTTGTCTAGTCCTGTTCCAGGAATGCCAACCTCTTGCCAGCAGGGGCCTAGGGTCTCCAGATCCAGTCCCTGACTTGTTGAAGACATTGGACTCAAGCACTCAATTACATCTTTGTTTTACTCAAATTCCAGCCTCCTTCCTGGGCCTGGAGGAACATCCCCTCTCCCTACCCGGGTTCAGTCACACCCTCATGTCCAACTGCTATACCCCCTGCATCCCACCCTCCAGCTATAGCCGCTTCTCTCCTAATCCCATACCCAGCTGTCACTCCGTTCTTTACCCCCTCCCTGCAATGCAAAGCTCCTATTCATCTTTATCCAGTCCTTTCCAGGAAGCTGGGAGCTGCCTAGGGTGGGGGTATGCTGCCAAGTTCAGTGCCCCTGGCTCCTTTAAGAATTTCCCACTCCTGGTCCAGGGATCTCAATCTGCAAGTCCTGCTCTATATTTGAAACATAAACCAAGTCATAACACAGTAATCCAGCCCTTATCTTGTTGCAGTCGTCTGCTGTAGGGTCAGCCACTCTCTATGGAGTAGGCTTTCTCTTGGGATAGGGCTTAGGCCTTTCTCTTGTGTCCCAAGGCTTGTTGGGTGTAGCCACTGAGGAAATCCCAAGGAAATCTCCCAGGTTCCTCGGGCTTGTCATAGACCTTCTTCATCACTTGGCTGTGCGCTACATACTTTCTGGTCTTCCCTGGGCTTGTCGGTCCAGAAGTCTTCGGAAGGCAGAAAACAAATGCTTTTGGGTGTGCACCCATCTCTCCCCTTTAAGACCAAGTCTTCTCCCCAGCCACAATCTGCTGTAGCTTTGGCCCCAGCCAGAAACTGGGCCATCTCTTTCTTTAACTTAATCTTGTGGTGCCCTTTCTGGTGCTGGGTCCAGTCCCTAACTGAAGGCAGGCCCACATAGCAGTCCCTGATTCTCACCACTTGAGGAGTTAGTGGGTCCCAGGCTGATTGGGTGACAGAAGGGGGCGGCAAAGAGCAGTGGCCCTTGGACTCTCCTAGGGAGGGAGCAAGAACTTCTAGGTAGGCTGATGCCAAGGATCTCTAAACTTGGGATCAGACTGGAGGAGCCAAAAGTTGGGGTATGAACTGTAGGAAAGGTCGCCAACCCAAGTCGCTCCTCTGTGGCAGGCAGCTTCTAGGAATCTCCCCCTCTTACCATTTACAGCCTGCATCCTACACCTCTGCTTAAAATGTTTTAGATATACTCCCAGCAGAGAAGATTCTTCAGACAGCTGGCAAAGTCCTCGCTCCGAGGAAGGGAGTAACAGGCAGGATTATTTAGTTCTCTTCATATAGGCGACTCACAGTATGGGTTTTTGGGGGTTGGGATTGGGGGAGACAGCCATTGATAGTAACAGGAGGCCTGACACTGATGAGGGGCTTTGACGTGGAAGGGCACCCTTCCAGGGAGGGACGCCCTGTCAGTACGGAACAGAGCCCGTGTGGGGAGGGGCGCTCGGCTCGAATGGCGACAGCGGCGGCAGAGTCAGGAGGTCAGTACGGTGGGCTTCGGTTTAAATCTTTAATGCACTGGCTGGCTGGGCAGCGGCGGTGGGGCTGCGGCGGGGGAAGCCACGACCCGAGCGCTGGGGAGTAGGACCCAGGCCGCTGGACAGACAGCTCATCAGGCCTCGCAGAGGCTCCAGCTTCTGCTCCCCGGGGTGCGCCGAGCTGTGGGGCGACCCGACACTGGCATGAGGCGGGGCGGGAGCTACCGGATTCCCCCCGATGGGTCCTCAGAGACTGAGTCCCGTCCATGCCCGGGGCGGGTCCGCGGTATCGCAGCCTCCTCACCTCCGCTCCCTCCGCCACATGCGAAGCCAGGGGAAAAAGTAGAAACAGCCCCAGTAGATCCTGCAGAGAGAGGGCAGAGCCGGGCGGGGCGGGGCGGGGCGGGGAGGAGCTGACCCTACAGACTCCGCCCCGCGGTGCCTCGCCGTCGAGGAAGGCTCCGCCCCGCCTCTAAAAGCGGCTCCCTTCGCGCCCACGCCCCTGGGAGGCTCGCCCTGCCCACCCCTCGCCCCCGCAGAACTCCACCCTCCCCCACCCCGGAGCCGCCTGGTTCCTCCTCCGCAGAACCCGCCTCCACTCACTCCTCCTCCGCCTCCAGCGCCACCTCGTATCTCCTCATTCCCGACATGTCCTGGGCTCCGAACGTCTCCTGGGGAGCGGCATGATTGAATCAGGGATTCCCTAGCCCCAGGTCCCCTTCTCCGTCATTCTCAGGACGAGGCTGCCCAGTTCTCAGGTAATCTGAGGCTGATGCCCCCGAGAAGCCTCAGTTGCCACCACGGGACAGGGTGGGCTTGGAGATTTGGGAGGCACTGGAAGTTAAGGGGTGAGGAGGCCGGTCATCTCCGGGGCCTGGGGCATTTAGGGGGCCAGGGCGAGAGGTTTGGCGGTCATGGGGCTGGGAGATTTGGGGCCCTGGGTGAGGATTTTCAGGGGCTGGGGTCACCTGGAGGGGGGGCTGAGAGGGGTCAGCGCAGCCTAAACTCCCGCCCTCCCTGGCTCCACCCCGGAAACGGACCGTTACTATTACGTCACAGGGATGCCGTTGCGCACTAGGTTTGCCTGTCCCCCGGAAGGGGTGGGGTGTTCATGTCTCCCAGAGGAGGCGGAGTCGAAACGTCATCTTACGGGGTGAGGCCAGGGGCGGGGTCGGTTGATTAAGATGCGGGCAAAGGACCCTCTTTTATAGGTGTCAGGTCAGGTTTTGGAGCTACACCTTGGGGGGCCGAGGCTTCCGCAGCAGGCAGCAAGAAAAGAGAGTTGGGACTAAGTCCAGTACTGTTTTCTTAATCCCCACGTCTCCTCTACCCCTCCCTGGGCTTCTGCCCTGCCGAGTGCCTCTCTTGCCTGCCTTCCTCCCCTTGTATGACCCTGGGCCGAGGAGGAATAGGTCCTCAGATAGAGTCCAGTCTAGAAAAGGCCAGGCTACGGAAATACCTAGTTGAGTGGCCTCGGCTAAGTCACTGAATGGCCGGAGGGTCATTGCCCTTCCTCTCTGGTCTGAGACCTATCTTCTTGTGATTTTTTTTTTTTTTTTTTGCTACATTCATTCAATCAACAAATATTTGCTGAATGACCACCTGTGTGTCAGGCACTGTGCTGGGCATGGGGATGTAGTAGTAAAGAAGACAGGTGGCCGGGCACGGTGGCTCACGCCTTTAATCCCAGCACTTTGGGAGGCCGAGGTGGGTGGATCACGAGTTCAGGAGTTCAAGACCAGCCTGGCCAAGATGGTGAAACCCCGTCTCTACTAAAAATACAAAAGTTAGCCGGGCGTGGTGGCAGGCGCCTGTAATCCCAGCTACTCGGGAGGCTGAGGCAGAGAATTGCTTGAAACTGGGAGGCGGAGGTTGCTGTGAGCTGAGATCGCACCACTGCACTCCAGCCTGGGTGACAGAGTGAGACTCCGTCTCAAACAAAACAAAACAAAACAACCAACAAACAAGACAGGCACCTTGTCTGCCCTCTGAGAGGTAGGGGTAGAGCTGGGAGGATCAAAAGAGAATAGTGAGATTCTTACTATAAATGGAGCAGGCTGGCTGGAAGAAGTAGAAGGTGTCAAGAAAGGGCAATCAACCCAGTGTGGGAGGTTGGAAATAGCTGCCCCAGAGCTCTGACATCCCAGTCAAGGCCCAGTACTGAGCTGTAGTCGGTTTGAGTAAGGGGAAAGACAGTTTTGGGGCTGGGCTGACTGTATAGGAGGGAGTGACCAGAAATAAGTGGGGTGAAAGTTTCCTCTGGTTGAAATGTGAGGAATGGATACCCCTCTTCTCTCCCTCATCCCACCCTCTTTCTCCCTCTCATTCTTGTCTTCCCTTGTCTGAGCCACATACAGAGAGCAGACAGAGAGATCCATGGGTGCTAGGTGGTTTTATTGGAAGCACTGCAGTCTGGGAGTTCAGAAGCTATGCTTTCACCACGTTCACCCTTTCACTCACATTCACACTCATGTTGACACTCCAGGCCTGGCTGGGTCAGGTCTGGTGCCGAGGAACTAGAGGCCTGGTCTTCCCTTCTGGTCCTTGGTTCCCCAGGCCAGGGCTGTCTCTGGCACTGTCATGGGCTAACTGCTGTGGCTCTTGCTCTGGGAAAGGAAGGAGAGGAAGGGCCATGGGCTGTAATCTTAGACAGGGCTCAGAGGGGGCAGACAGGACTGGGGAGGGCCAGGCTTTCCTTGGCAGAGGTCTTCCGCAGTCTCCAGTTTGTGCAATCCATCCAGGGCTGGTCTAGAGGCTGCCTTTCAGTGTGGTGAATCTGGAGTCAGAGAGAATGGAGCCATAGAACTCATCTTCCTGAAAGGCCCTGGTGTGAGGGGCAGATGCTGGGGACCAGATCTGGGAACCTGTTTTAGGGGCTTCCTTGTGGGAGGGATTGGGCAAGGAGAAGTGAAGGAAGTAACATGGTGAATGGAGACCTGGATGATGGAGGAAGTGATTGGGAGGGGAGGAGACTGGACATTCTCCACCCCGACTCATAGGACAAAGTGCCCTGCAGCCATCCCTGAAGAGGAGGTAGCAGAAGGCACCAAAAATGTTCCCAGGAATTGGGTGTTGATTTGCTAAGAGGCAGAGTCCCCAGAGTTGTTGGTATCTCCCAGAGCTAGGGAGTGAGTATTAGCTTTAGGGCTTAAGATGGGAAGGCCATAGCCCTGACTGGAACTTGGGATATCTGTGTCCAGAGCTTTAGTGTTGCTCTCTACTCCACCCACATGCACTGTTCTCTTCTTCCTCTGGGAAGTCCAGGCTAGAGAGACAGAGCCTATAAAGAGAAGAGCAGCCAGAGGCTCCAGGACCCATCCAGGCACTGATACATACAGGAACAGCTGGGGTACAGGCACATCTACATCACACAGGTGCACACAAAGGGCATAGGCATACCCACACCACACAGGCACACACATAGACTGCAAAGGAATACACACAATGCACAGGTATACCCATGTCACACAGGACGTAAAGTCATCACAAGGGCACACCCATTTGGCATATGTACAGTCTCAGGTGCATATCAGTCTCAGAACCTGGATGTTGATATTGTGAAAGGAGAATAAATCTCAGAACCCCCAAATCATTCAACCAAGGGGAAAGTCAAGCTGGGAATTGTGTCAGGCAAACCTGCCTCTTGTTTTATTCCTAAAAGAGATAGCTACAAAGAAAAAGCTACATACCTCCCTCACAATTTGTCCACAGGGAAATTCCTTATGGGCCTCAAGATCTTTACCTTAAAACAGTTGTGCTGAATTTCACCCTGGCAATGTAAACTGATAGCTTATCTTCACAGGTGCAGGACAATAGACAGAACTCAAAGTCATCCCTCTGCTCACCTGAGACAAATGTGTATCTGATTGCTGCTTCTGCCCTATTGTTTATGCAAAAATGCAGATCCACTGAGCCAGACTAAGGCATCAGTGTGACTATTCCTTTACTCCCCACTCCATGTAAATTGTGTATTCAGTGAAAGGCTGATCAAAGACCCCAAAAAATGCAGCCTTTTGTCTCTTATCTACCTATGACCTGGAAGCCCCCACTTCGAGTTGTCCCGCCTTTCCAGACTGAACCAGTGTACACCTTACACGTATTGATTGATGTCTCATGTCTCCCCAAAATGTATAAAACCAAGCTGTGCACCGACCACCTTTAGCATGTGTTGTCAGAACCTCCTGAGGCTGTATCATGTCATGAGTGTGTGCTCAACCTTGGCAAAATAAACTTTCTAAATTGATTGAGACCCATCTCAGATACTTTTGGATTCACAACATGAACTCAGCTTCCTTTACAGACCCCTGAGACCTGCACATTGATCCCTGCCATGCCCCTCCGTACCGTTTAACCCCTGCCCCATTTTACTCACTCATGGCAAGAAAACCAATATGCTGAGAAGAGGAGTGTTGCCACACACACAAGAGGCCATGGAGGATGAGCAGAGATGGACAAATGAGGAGAGTCCCTGGGAGCAGCAGGTGTGCATGGGTGTGCAGGAGTCCTTCTGCTTGTGTGGAGTCTGTGAGACTGTGTGTGAGGTTGGATGGGGAGAGCAAGCAGGAGAGGGATCATGATCATGAGGGCGAGGGAGTCCTTGGAAGACTGAGGGTCCATGAGTGTGTGTGGATCTGTAGGAGGCTGTGGCTGTCTCCTATTTATGGCCCCCTAAAACTTTCATTTTCTACGTTCAGAAACTTCCTTCCCTAATGGTGTGTAATAAAGAATTTGACTGCCTTTTGTCCCTGGCTCCTGAGAGGGAGACTAAACCTTTGGAATTTCCCAAGTAATAGGAGTGTCTTTATTACTCATGAGCCCCTTGGAACACACCTGGGTTTATGCTAAGAGATGAGATGGCTCAGGTTAGAGGTTGGTCACAGTAAAGACCAACCATGTGATTAGAGAGTTGAGACTTTGGGCCAGGCTGACCTCTGGGGAGGAAGGGGGCGCTGGAGATTGAATTCAGGTATGTGGCCAATAATTCAATTATGCTGATGTAAGGAAATCTCAAAAAAAACTCTGGACACCAAAGCTCATAAAACTTTCTGGTTGATGAACACATTGATGTCCCAGGAGGCTGATGCACCTTATGTCTCCACAAGGAGAAACCACTGAGAGAAGCTCTGCATTTGAGACCCTCCTAGACTTCATCCTGTGTGTCTTTTCATTTGGCTGTTTCTGATTTATACCCTTAATAAACTAATTAAACACAGCACTTTCCTGAGTTCTGTGAGTCACTCTAGCAAATTATCAAAACTGACGGGTTTTGGGAACTTCTCAGACTTGTAGCCAGTTGGCCAGAAATGTGGGTGGCTTGGAGACCCTACTTGTGGCTGGTATCTAAACTGGGGACAGTCTTGTTGGGGACCTTTCCCTTAAACCTGTGGAATCTGGTGCTAACTCTACGTGGCTAGTGTCAGAAGTGAATTGCAGTCCATGAGTTGGTAGCAGAATACTTTCCCACTGGATAGCTCCCCATCGCCTCTCTCTCCCTTTTTGTGGAGGAAACTCTTTTCTCTTTCACAACTCTCCGCAGTAGACTGCACCTGTTTTTCACTTTTTGGCTTCAGCTCCGAGAATTTCAGCAATAAGCAGTTTGGACAAGGGGAGGAGAGTTTGCACTATTACCATTAGGGGAAGATTTGCAAGGTTTGTGATGTTGCTCCTTTGGAGGCATTTGAGCCATCAGTCTCAAGGCTGGGAGTCAGGGTTTGGTTCAAGATTAGGGTCAGAGGTAGGAATGTGTCTCCTCCCTAGGTTCCTCACTGCCAGCTCTTCTCTGTAGTACTAAGATACCTGGGAGTAGGAGGAGTGGGAAAGATGGGACATAGCCACCCACTAGATTCCCTGAGGGACAATCACAAGAGCAGGGTAAGGATGAGAAGGTCCTCTCCCAGATTCTCCAGACCTCCCTGGGCCTATCACAGTGCCTATATATCCACCATCTGAGATCCATTCCTCCCTTGGAAAGTGAAGCTAAATGGAACATTCTTTGGAAGCAGGTTCAGCTCCCCTATCTCTCATCTCTGGACTCTAGGACTTCACCTTCCTGGCCCAGCCAGCACTGTCCCTCTCCCTTATTGACCCATTTTCCTATGCCCCAGAGCTGAGTTAGAATAGCTGGAGGAGAACTTGGCCTAGAACATGCCCATTCTCTACCGTGGCCTCCCTATCCTGGGAATTGAGAGGGATTTTTGAGGAGAGGGTTTGGTCTGCTCACAGAGTAACAGGAAAAGAAAGGAATGAGGGAGTCCTGAGAAGCAGGCTTACTGTGTACTGGTTGCCAATTTGTCTGAGTCCAGTGGGAGAACACATCCAACAAGTTATATGAAATGGATTTATTACTCTCAGGTAGGCAGCAAGGGAAACAGAATCCCAGGATTAATTGTGAGGCAGCCCCCAAGGCTCAGGAAAGCTGCCCAGGGCAGATGGCTTCATCTGCCTATGCTGCACTTGCACTGCAGCCAAGGACTCCAGAAAGCAGCCTGCCTTGGGTTTTATACCCCAGGGCAATGTGAATTCCTGGGCTAAAACATTGAAGGATATTGTTTCTGGGGTGGGACTAGAAGAGAGCCTGTTCCTTGTCTGTTTCTGTCACCTCTTCCTTATCTCAAGATTTTGCATTCCAAGTGAGAAAGGGAGGAGAACTGGGTCAGTGTACGGTCACCCAGAGAACTGTTCTGCCAGACCCAAGAGATAGACCTCTCAGAAGACACTATTGTGGAGTGCTATTCTGTTTCCCATTCCAGATCTAGAGTATATAGTGGAGCAGATTTAATTGCCTGTATTTTTCTGCCTCATCCATCCATCCATCCATCCATCCATCCATCCATCCATCCATCCATGTGTCTATATGTCTACTCATCTTTATCTCTTCATCAGCCCATTCTTCCTTCTTTCATCTTTCATTTATTTTTTCATATATTCATTGTGACCTGTTCATCTGTATGTTCAACCATTATTCATTTATTGTTTCCCTTCATTTGTTTGTCTCTCAGTTATGGTAATAATTAACATTTATGATACTTAAGTGCCAGGCACCATGCAAAATGCTTTAAATTCATTGTCTCATGACAAATCTATGAAGTGGATTGCTGTGGGCTGTTTTTGTTTATGCAGACCACTTTTCTACTTTTCTATACCCCTTTTTGTGGTTCCTGTAGGAAACTCCTTTCCCACTTAACATGGTCTTGGTGGGGCTGTCAGCTACAGTGCTCTGATCAGAGTACCCCTTTTCCTGGCCACTGTGATAGACTGAAGAACTGAGTATGTATCACAAGTACAGTTAACCAGAGCTTTCTATGAGATTTGATGTTTGGATGCTAGGAGAAAGAGAGTCTCTTTTAGATCAATCAATATAAAAATTTAGGCTTAAGGCTTCTAGTGGCCATATTTCTTGCTACTAGAAGAGCACCTGTATCTTAGACCATTTTCTGTTTCTTAACAGAATACCTAAATCTGGGTAATTTATAAAGAAAAATAATTTATTTCTTACAGTTATGGAGGCTGAGAAGTCCAAGATTGAGGGGACATACCTGGTGAGATCCTTCTTGCTGGTGGGGACTCTCTGCAGGGTCGTGAGGTGTGGCACAGGGCATCACATGGTGAGGGGGCTGAGTGTCCTAGCCCGTGTCTTTTCTTAGGAAGCCTCTAGTCCCACACCCATAATAACCCATTACTCCATGGATGGATTCATCCATTCATCAAGGCAGAGCCCTCATGACCCAATCACTACTTAAAGGCCCCACCTTTCAATATTGCTACATTTGGGATTAAATTTCTTTTATTTATTTTTAATTTGTTATATATTTTTAAGAGACGAAGTCTCACTCTGTCGCCCAGGCTGGAGTGCAGTGGCATGATCATGGCTCACTGCAGCCTTGAACTCCTGGTCTCAGCCAGTTCTTCTGCCTCAGCTTCCCAAGTAGCTGAGACTACAGCTACAGGTGTGCACCACCATGCCCAGCCAGGGATTAAATTTCAGCATGAGTTTTGGAGGGGACAAATATTCAAACCATAGCAACCTGTCTATGACAGGAATGAGATCCCTACACAAAAAGATTAGTCAGAGCATGGTGGCTCATGCCTGTAAACCCAGCACTTTGGAAGGCCAAGGCGGACAGATCACCTGGGGTCAGAAGTTTGACACCAGCCTAGCCAACCTAGTGAAATCCTGTCTCTACTAAAAATACAAAAATTAGCCAGTCGTGGTGGCATGTACCTGCAGTCCCAGCTACTCGAGAGATGAGGCAGGAGGATTCTCTAACCTGGGAGCGGGAGGTTGCAGTGAGCCGAGATCGTGCCACTGCACTCCGGTCCGGGCTACAGAGCGAGACTCTATTTCAAAAAAAAAAAAAAGAGAGGAATTGAGGTAAGAGAAGGAGATAACAACATTTCAACCCCTGGATCCAGCCAGGGTTGCAGATAATCTTCTCCTTAATGAGAAGCTTTTTTGTTGTTGTTGTTTGTTTGTTTTTTTAAGATGGAGCCTCGCTCTGTTGCCTAGTCTGGAGTGCAGAGGTGTGATCTCGGCTCACTGCAACCTCCACCTCTTGGGCTCAAGTGATTCTCCCACCTCAGCCTCCTGAGTAGGTGGGTGCCACAGCCTGGCTAATTTTTTTTTTTTTTTTGAGACGGAGTCTCGCTCTGTCGCCCAGGCTGGAGTGCAGTGGTGTGATCTCGGCTCACTTCAAGCTCTGCCTCCCAGGTTCACGCCATTCTCCTGCCTCAGCCTCCAGAGTAGTTGGGACTACAGGCACCCGCTGCCAAACCTGGCTAATTTTTTGTATTTTTAGTAGAGACGGGGTTTCACCATGTTAGCCAGGATGGTCTTGATCTCCTGACCTTGTGATCTGCCTGCCTCGGCCTCCCAGAGTGCTGGGATTACAGGTGTGAGCCACCGCACCTGGCCAGCCTGGCTAATTTTTGTAGAGACAGAATTTCCCCATGTTGCCCAGGCAGGTGTCAAATTCCTGAGGTTAAGCAGGCCACCTGCCTCAGCCTCCCAAAGTGCTGGGATTACAGGCGTGAGCCACTGCATCTGGCCTCATACCTAGTTTTGATATAACAAATTTAACTTTTTGCTCAAGGTGCTTTGAATTGGGTTTTTGCCGTTTGCAACCGAAAAAGCCCTCAGTAAAAATGACTGTATTATCCCTATTATACAGATGGGAAACTAAGACCCAGAAAGGTTAATTTTCCCAAGATTTCCCAGTTTATAATGAGTGGAACACTGGTATTCGGAGCAAAACTCTGCTTTATTACCTGTATGTGTCCATCTGCCCATCTATCCATCCGTCCATCCCATCCATTTATTTCTCTGACCATCTTTCAATGCCAAGACACTGAAGACAATTAGTCTTGTTTCACTTGCCAACTTCAATTCTGAAGCTGAGTCTGGATCAGGGATTGGTAAACTTTCTGTAAATGTCCAGATAGTAAATATTTAAGATTCTGTGGGCCATACAGTCTTTGTAGCAACTACTCAGCTTTGCTGTTGCAGCACAAAAGCAGTCATAGATATATTTAAATGAATAAGCATGGCTGTATTCCAATAAAACTCTATTTACAGAAACAGGTGGCAGGCTGCATTTGGCCCATGGGCCATAGTTTGCCAATCCTAGTCTGGATCAATGGGGAAGACATATTATGTTTTATTATTGGGAACATGAACAGGGAGTGCCCTTGTGTTTGTACTGTGATTATATGCTTAAACGATTGTAGTGTGTCCTTGGTGTATGTGAGTGATTGGCTGTGTGATTGATTATGTGTCTGTGTATGTATGTGTGTGGGTAGAGACACGTAGGTGGGTAAGGGTGTCGGCAATTATGTGTTTGTGTATGGTGTTTTTGTTGTTGTTGTTATTTTTGTTTTTTGAGACAGGGTCTCGCTCTGTCACTCAGGCTGGAATGCAGTGGCGTGATCTCGGCTCACTGTAACCACCACTGGGCTCAAGCTATCCTCCTACCTCCCAAGTAGCTGGGACTACAGGTGCGTGCCACTACACCCCACTAATTTTTTGTATTTTTAGTAGAGATGGGGTTTCACCGTGTTGCCCAGGCTGGTGTCAAACTCCCGGGCTCAAGTGATCCTCCCGCCTTGGCCTCCTGCAGTGCTAGGAGTATAGGTGTGAGCCACTGCGCTGGGCAGGTTTGTTTTCTGGCTGCTTTTTCAATCCATCTCTTTGTGGTTCTCAATCCGCAAGGGCCTGCAGGGGGCGTCCAGTGCCTAGGGAAAAGGGGCTCCTGGCCTGGACTCTCAACCTCATGGGGCCTGCAGAGGGCGTCTAGCATACGGGGAAAATGGAGTGTGTGGTTCCTGGCCTGTGGAAGAGGGGATCTGGCCTAAGTGGGCTGTCATGTCTTGTTCCAGAAAGGGGCTGGAAATGAGCAAGAAACCAAATTACTCAACTTCTGAAAGTCCCTGATCCTGGGAAGGGGTCTGCTTCACTTCCTATCCTTTTGCAAATCCTCTATTCATGTCTGGAGGGTCTCAGTCCAGCTGGAGGGGCAGAGCTTGGCTCTGCAGTCCCAGAGTGTGGGTGGAACATTGCACAGAACTTCTGGAGGTGATGGGATATCAGGATAGGGGGAAGTCTTGAGCAATAGCATACACCCCTTCCCTGCGTCCTATCCCCTGGAGCTTGAAATAACGCCACTGCCAGGGTTTCCTCAATAGTTATCTCCTCTATTCCCTGCAGTTTGGGTCACTCTGAACCTCAGGGTGCCTGGGCCTGGGCTGAGCTTGCTTGGGAGAAGCTCAGGAAACAAGGGCCCCTGGATGTAAAGCTGAGGGTGACCTCTGCTATGTGGTTGGAGATGGGGAGCCCTGGGGTGTCAGAGGGAAGTAGGGAGGGGAGGCTGCCTGAAGGAGATAGCTTTGCAAAAAGAACCTCAAGGATGGGTGGGAATGGAGAAAGGACATTCCAGACAGAATGAACAGCAAGCACAAAGGCTCAGAGGAGGGACATAAGAGTTTGTGATTAATCCCAATGTAGGTGGGGCGGGGAAAGGGCTAGTGGTGGGAGAGGCTATATGTGTGTGGGAGGTGGAGTGGGGGAGTTATTTCTGGTCATATATAATTTTGAAAAATTCCTGAGGAAGGAGCCATGGGGATGGCCAAGCCCAGATGTTGCAACTGCCCTTAGGAAGGAGGCTGAAGTCAGGGCTGGGCTGTAGTAGCAGGGCTGAAGAAGTGGCGCAGATACCAGAGACATTAAAGAGGTAGAAGTTGGGCTGGGCATGGTGGCTCATGCCTGTAATCCCAGCACTTTGGAAGGCCAAGGCAGGTGGATCACTTGAGCCCAGGAGTTCAAGACCAGCCTAGGCACAATGGGGAAACCACATCTCTACAAAAAATACAAAACTTTGCTGGGCATGGTGGCGGGCCCCTGTAGTCCCAGCTTCTCAGGAGGCTGAGGTGGAGGATCTCTTGAGCCTGGGAAGTTGAGGCTGAAGTGAGCCATGATTATGCCACTGCACTCCAGTCTGGGCAACAGAGTGAGACCCTGGAAGAGCCAGGGATGGTGTACAGATCTACTTCTGGGTTCCAGGCTGCAGAGCCAACTGCCTATTTGGGATTTCCTTGGCTTTCTTACAGATACTGGATTGGGCTGTTTTTGCATTGTTATAAAGAAATACCTGAAACTGGGTAATTTATAAGAAAAAAGGTTTAGTTGGCTCACAGTTCTGCAAGCAATACAGGAAGCATAACACTGGCATTTGCTTCTGAGGAGGACTCAGGAAGCTTACAATCACGGCAGAAGCTGAAGGGGGAGCAGGCATCTCATATGGCAGGGGAAGGAGCAAGAGAGAAACAGAGGGAGATGCCACACGCTCTTAAACAGCTAGATCACATGAGAACTCACTCATTTTCAGGAGGACAGCCCCAAGGGGGTGGGGCTAAGCCCTCCATGAGAAATCCATTCCCGTGATCCAATCACCTCCCGCCAGGCCCTATTTCCAATACTGGGGATGACGCTTCAACATGACATTTGGGCAGGGACACATTTCCAAACTATATCAGATACCTTATTCCAAAACCAAACTCCTGATTCTCAACACCTCCCTCCTAGCTTGTCTTCGTCTTCTCCCCAGTTATCCATCTCAGAAAAGGAAGCCACCATCCCTCCAGGGGCTCAGGCCTGAAGCCTGGTGTCATCCCTGGTTTTTCCCTTGCCCTTATGCTTCAAATATAATCCATCAGCTCAGCCTCATGTTCTACTTATAAGTCCATATTGGATTCCTCTTCTCTATTCCAACTGCCACCACCTAGGTTAGGCCAGCATCATCTCTTTCCTAGACTACTGGAAAAGCCCTCTGACTTCCCCATTCTTTGTACAATTCATTTTTCCTGACTGCTGATAGGGTCTTTGTAAACTGTTTTTTTTTTTTTTTTTTTTTTTTTGAGATGGAGTCTCGCTCTGTCGCCCAGGCTGGAGTGCAGTGGCACGATCTTGGCTCACTGTAAGCTCCGCCTCCCGGGTTCACGCCATTCTCCTGCCTTAACCTCCCGAGTAGATGGGACTACAGGTGCCCGCCACCACGCCTGGCTAATTTTTTGTATTTTTAGTAGAGACGGGGTTTCACCGTGTTAGAAAGAGGATGTTCTCGATCTCCTGACCTCGTGATCCACCCGCCTGGGCCTCCCAAAATGCTGGGATTACAGGTGTGAGCCACTTCGCCCAGCCAGTAAACTGTTAATGAGATCATGTTACTCCTCAGATTAAATCTTTCACAGCACTTATAGAACAAAATCCTCACTCCTTCTTGTGGCCTGCAAAGACTTGGATCCTATGATTCCAGCCTCTGTGTCCTACCTCTTCTTATGCCATCTCCTCCTCGTCCATTGTCCTCTGGCCACACTGGTCATTCCTCCTTGAATGGCTGGCTTCTTCTCTTTTAGGTGTCCTGGTGGTTAATACTGAGTGTCAATTTGATTGGATTGAAGGATTCAAAGTATTGATCCTGGGTGTGTCTGTGAGGGTGTTGCCAAAGGAGATTAACATTTGAGTCAGTGGGCTGGGAAAGGCAGACCCACCCTTAATGTGAGTGGGCACAATCTAATTGCTGCCGGCAATATGTGCAGGCAGAAAAATGTGAAAAGAGAGACTGGCCTAGCCTCCCAGCCTACATCTTTCTCCCATCCTGGATGTTTCCTGCCCTTGAATGTTGGACTCCAAGTTCTTCAGTTTTGGAACTCGGACTGTCTCTCCTTGCTCCTCAGCCTGCAGACGGCCTATTGTGGGACCTTGTGATCGTGTGAGGTAATACTTAATAAACTCCCCCCCTTTATATATTTTCTTTCTTTCCTTCCTTCCTTCCTTTTTTTTTTTTTTTTTTTGGAATGACGTTTTGCTCTTGTTGCCCTGGCTGGAGCGCAATGGCGCAGTATCGCTCACTCTGCAACCTCTGCCTCCTGGGTTCAAGCGATTCTCCTGCCTCAGCCTCCTGAGTAGCTGGGATTACAGGCGCCTGCCACCACACCCAGCTAATTTTTGTATATTTAGTAGAGACAGGGTTTCACCATTTTGACCAGGCTGGTCTTGAACTTCTGACCTCAAGTGATCCGCCCGCCTAGGCATCCCAAAGTGCTGGGATTAAGAGCCACCATGCCTGGCTCTTTCTTTTTCTTTTTTTTTGAGACAGAGTCTTGCTCTGTCACCCAGGCTGGAGTGCAGTGACACGATCTCGGCTCACTGCAACCTCCACCTCCCGGGTTCAGGCAATTCTTCCACCTCAGCCTCCTGAGTCTCTGGGACTACAGGCATGGGCTACCATGCCCGGCTAATTTTTGTATTTTTAGTAGAGATGGGGTTTCACCATGTTGGCCAGCTGGTCTGGAACTCCTGACCTCAGGCGATCCGTCTGCCTTGGCCTCCCAAAGTGCTAGGATTACAGGCCTGAGCCATCACACCCGGCCCCTTTAGATATGTCTATTCCATTAGTTCTGTCCCTTTAGAGTTTAAACTAACACCTGTCTGGTTTGAACCCCCTTCCTGCATAAAAGCCCTACAGGCCAGATACTCACATTCCCAGCCTCTCTTGCATCTAAGAAAGTCCAACCAATCTGGATGTACCTTCTCAGGGCTGTGAATCAAGTATTAGTGATGCAAAGAAGCAAGGACCATGGGGAATCCATTTTGGTGGTGGCAGTAGAATTGGTGGCAGTGCCATTGTCTCTCACTTGGCCCTTTGACTCATCAGATCCAGTGGTGTTTGAGGTGTCTGTGGCCAATTACCATGCAGTATGAAGCCCAAGAGCAGGTTGCTCACATTTCCAGCATGCTTGCTTCTGGGTCATTGTCACCTTTCCCTTAGTCTGCACCTGCAGCCTCATGGAGAGTTCTTGATGACCGTTGACTCATAAGCCAATTTTTCAGCTGGGTATATATGATTCTGCACAATTTTCTGGAACTAGTTTAGAGTGGATCACTATAGCATTAAGGCCCCATTCAGGGTGATCCTGAAAGACAGTGGTGGGCGGATCACGAGGTCAGGAGATCGAGACCATCCTGGCCAACATGGTGAAACCCTGTCTCTACTAAAAATACAAAAATTAGCTGGGTGTGGTGGCGCGTGCCTGTAATTCCAGCTACTCAGGAGGCTGAGGCATGAGAATCGCTTGAACCCAGGAGGCGGAGGTTGCAGTGAGCCGAGATCGCGGCTCTGCACTCTAGCCTGGTGACAGAGCGAGACGCCTTCTCAAAAAACTTCCATATTGTGGAGAGGACCATGTGCCAGTGAATGGCAGGCAGTTCTAGGAGCTGGGAGCTTCAGTCCTACAAGCACAACTACCAAAAATAGCAGTGAGTTTGGAAGAGGGCTCTGAGCCTCAGATGAGATTGCAGTGCTGGATGACATCTTGAGTTCATTTCTTTTATATTTTTAATTTTTATTTTTGCCTGACAGTCCAAATATGTTTGTATGACACCTTGAGTTCAGCCTAGTGAGGCCAAGATCAGAGGACCCAGTCAACCTAGACCTACACTGTTGGCTCACAGGAGCTGTGAGATAATAAATTTGAGTTATTTTAAGCTGCTAAATTTGTGGTGATTTATTTTACAGCAATAGAAAACCAATACAAGGCTGGGTGCAGTGGCTCATGCCTGTAATCTCAGCACTTTAGAGGACAAGGTGGGCAGATCACCTGAGGTCAGGAGTTTGAGACCAGCCTGGCCAACATGGTAAAACCCCATCTCTACTAAAAATACAAAAATTAGCCAAGCATGGTGGGGGGTGCCTGAAGTCCCAGCTACTTGGGAGGCTGAGGCAGGAGAATCGCTTGAATCTGGGAGGCGGAGGTTGCAGTGAGCCGAGATCGCACCACTGCACTCCAGCCTGGGCGACTGAGGGAGACCCTGTCTCAAAAAATAAAAAAATAAAAAATAAAATAAGAAGGCCGGGCGCGGTGGCTCACGCCTGTGGTCCCAGCACTTTGGGAGGCCGAGGCGGGTGGATCACGAGGTCAGGAGATCGAGACCATCCTGGCTAAAACGGTGAAACCCCGTCTCTACTAAAAATACAAAAAATTAGCCGGGCGTAGTGGCGGGCGCCTGTAGTCCCGGCTACTTGGGAGGCTGAGGCAGGAGAATGGCGTGAACCCGGGAGGCGGAGCTTGCAGTGAGCCGAGATCCCGCCACTGCACTCCAGCCTGGGCGACAGAGCGAGACTCCGTCTCAAAAAAAAAAATAAATAAATAAAAAAAAAAATAAAATAAAATAAGAAAACCAATACAAGAAGAGAATAATAAATGTCAGCTAAGTCCCAGAACCAGTTGCAGAACTACTGACTGTAACTTTTATCCATATTCCCTTCCATGTGAAATGTGTCTATTTTTCTGTTCTTTCACTGACTCCTCTTTTCTTTTATCCTCCTTTATTGCATTCTTGAATATAGGTTGTTGTGGTGGTATTACTACTACTCAGCAAGATTCTGGTTTTACTTCTCATCTTGGGAGTTACCATCAAGACGTTAGGTATGGCTGTGTGACCCACTTTGGCCAATGAAATGTGAACAGAAATGGCATATGTCACTTGTGGACAAAAACATTTAAGCAAGAATTTCCCTTGCTGTCTTCCTTGACTGGAGCGACCATGGAAGCCTGTGTTGAGATGAAGAGGCTGCCAACAGATCAAAACACTTGAAAACTTGAGCAGCCACATGGACTACAACTGTGCTGGAGACTTGCCTGGACCCACAGCAGGCTTGGTATGCATGGGGAATAGAATTTTGTTGTATTACACTCCTCAGATTTGGATGTCATTTGTTATTACAGCATTACCTAGCCTATTCTGACCAATCAGGTGTGTTGGTGGTGGTTACCAGGTGTTAGAAAATAGAGATGTAAGATTACAGTAAAACTGGAGGGGGAAAACATGTCACCCCAATATCTTGGATTTAGAAGCAGATGTTGCTATGGAATGAATTGTGTCCCCCCCCAAATTCGTATGTTTAGTCCTAACCCTAAATGTGACTGTATCTGAAGATGGGGTCTTTAGGAGGTAATTAAAGTTAAATGAGGCCGGGTGTGGTGGCTCACACCTGTAATCCCAGCCCTCTGGGAGACCGAGGTGGGTGGATCACCTGAGGTCAGGAGTTCGAGACCAGCTTGGCCAACATGGTGAAGCCCTGTCTCTACTAAAAATAGAAAAAGTAGCTGGGTGTGGTGGTGTGTACCTGTAGTCCCAGCTACTTGGGAGGCTGAGGCAGGAGAAGTGCTTGAACCCAGGAGTTGGAGATTGCATTGAGCCAAGATCATGCCACTGTACTCCAGCCTGGGTGACAGAGTGAGACTCCATCTCAAAAAAGAAGAAGAAGAAAAAAAAAGGTTAAATGAGGTCATAATCCGATAGGAGTATAGACTTAGAAGAAGAGGAAGGGACCTCTCTTTGTCTCTCTCTGTCACATAGTAAGAAGGTGGCTGGCTGGTTGCAAGCCACAAAAAAAGCCCTCACCAGAAAGTGACTATCTTGGCACTTTTTTTTTGAGGCAGGGTCTTGCTGTTGCCCAGGATGGAGTGCAGTGTCATGGTCACGGCTCACTGCAGTCTCAACCTCCCAGGCTCGAGAGTTCCTCCCAGCTCAGCTTCCCAAGTAACTGGGACTACAGGCACCTGCCACCACACCCGGCTAATTATTTCTATTTTTTTTTTTTTTTTTTTTTTTGTGGAGACATTGCCCAGACTGGTCTCAAATTCCTGGGCTGAAATGATCCTCCTGCTTTGGCCTCCCAAAGTGCAGGGATTACAGTCATGAACCACTGAGCCTGGCCCATCTTGGCACTTTTGATCGTGGACTTCTAACCTTCAGAACTGTGAGAAAATAAATTTCTGTTGTTTAAGCTACACAGTCTATGGAATTTTGTTATGACTACCTGAACAGACTAAGATGGATGTGGTAATTTCTAAGGCTCTGAGTTGTCTGTCTTTCGGGGGGGTGAATTTTTTTTGGCTGTATAAACAAAGGTGATATTATGTTAGGTGATACGCTCAATTTTCTAAGAAGTCTAGGGTTTGGGAAGAAGGATGTATGTTGATCTTGGATAGCCATAGTGTGGACTATAGAGATATTTATTATTATTATTTTCATTGCCCACAAAGTTAGCCCCTTTCTGTGTTTGAGAAACTTCCTATTATATTACTCTTGGTTACTGGTAGACTTTGCTTTCCATCATAGAATCCCCAAAAGTCACATACTAATTTTCCCAGCCCCCTCTGCACTAGGACTTGGACACATGACCTAGGCTTTGCTAATCATAGGACTGTGAATAGGAAACTAGTAGTGATGTGAAGGAGTGGGGTTATTAGAGAATCCATTTTTGGTGGTGGTAGCCGTGGTGGTGAAAGTGATGTCTATTTTACAGGGGCAGCTGTAGCTATGATTCCAGAGGTGGCATCTGGCAGGCTGACCACCTAACACTGGTGAGGCTTGGGGCAATAGTACAAATGGAGGCCCACTATCTAAATATTTAAAAGGTAAAAATCAAGCGAACAAGTTGTCAAATAAAAAATGTGTCTGTCTTCCTTACCTTGAAAAATATACTTTCTTTCTTTCTCTCTTTTTTTTTTTTTGAGACAGAGTTTTGCTCTGTTGCCCAGGCTGGAGTGCAATGGCACAATCTCAGCTCACTGCAACCTTTGCCTCCTGGGTTCAAGAGATTCTCCTGCCTCAGCCTCCCAAGTAGCTGGGATTACAGGCATGCGCCACCATACCTGGCTAATTTTTGTATTTTTAGTAGAGAAAGGGTTTTGCCATGTTGGCCAAGCTGGTCTCGAACTCCTGACCTCAGGTGATCCACCCGCCTTGGCCTCCCAAAGTGCTGGGATTAAAGGCGTGAGCCACCATGCCCGGCCAAAATATATACTTTCAAAACAACTTGGAGGCTAGGTTCAAGTTGAGAATTCTTGAACTCCTTGGAGATCCATGATGGAATGAGGTGGTAAGGGGAGAGCCCATCACCAGCCCTCCACTTGTCCCTCTCCTCTTCCTATCCACAGTTCTATCCTGCACCATGAAGGGTCTCACGTGTCTGGGTGTAAACACTCCAGCCCCATACATACAAGCTCCTTCTACATTCCCTGCAAATAGCTACTTCTTGGCTACCCTCTGGACCTGGTAGTGTGTATATCAGTAACATAGTCTATCCTAGGAAGAACAAATCTGAGGAAGAGGCCCATAATGATATTGGAAGCTACTTGGGGGCATTTGGGCAGGAAATTCTCTGTTTTTCAATTCCTGAAATATGGTCTAGAAGAAAAGAATGAGTTCTGGGTGGGTGCTCCCTTCGTCCTGTGGACTTTTTTTTCCTGTGTCCAGAGATATGATTAGAGGAGGGCCAGATCAGGGTCATCTAAAACATGGGATGCAGGGCAAGGGCCCCAGTTGTCTGGACATAAGCATTGTCCTGGCCACTTGGCATCGCCTTTTGGTGGTGCCACCATGCTGTCTTGGAGGCCTATCTGGACCATCTGTACTGTACCGTATGCTCTGGGAGTGGTTCTGGCTGCCTAGGCTCACTTATTCTCGCTATTTTCTGCATCTTCCCAGGGTCTTTTTAATAAACTCCTTTTCTGTTGGAATCAGCCAGTGAGTTTCAGTGGCTTGCAAGTAAGAATCCTGATCCACACTTTTGTTTATTTGCCTTTTGTTTTTGGAGGAGAGGGGGAAGCTTCATGAAGACCAAGACCATATCTATCTTGTTCACTATCGTATCACCAGCACCTAGAATAGTGCCTGGAATGAATAAGTGTTCTGGGTTGCAGACAGTGATGAGGCATCACTTTAGACGTGAGGGGTTTTCCCAGGGCTGGAAACCTATGTGATGGCAGCGCTGAGACTACTGGGGGCCTTACACTAACATTCAGAGTGATACTCTGGCACTCAGTGCTGCCATACCAGGAGCCATTTACGTAGACTACAGAGAGGATGGTGCCCCCTGGAGTTGTGCAGTGCTGCTGTCCTGCCTCACAGGTTTAAGTGTTCCTGACAGTGGTAGGGTTTCCTGAGAGGAATGGTGGCTTGATAGTAATGGGGGGACCTTGACATTAATGGGTGTCCTGTCAGCAATGAGGACATAATAGGCATTGGGACATCCTATCAGGAATGGGGGTTCCTCAACTGATGAGCACTTTGCAGTGTTGAGGCCCTGACAGAAGGGCTGGCTTCCTCTTGGGAGAGGACCCTTGAAATGATGGTTTGGCAGGAATGAGGTCGACGTGGTGATTGGGGTTTGGATTGTGTTAGGCTCAGATTTCCAGGGACTGGGATTCTGAGATCAAAAGCCCTAGGAGATCTGGTTGTCCCAGAATGGTAGTGTTCCTGTGGCTGGGGTGAAAGCTTTCCCACCTCTGCCAGGTTGGAGCCGAGGGTGGCTCACATCTTCTGCATCCCCCTGGAGCCACGGGGAAGACCCAAAGGCCCTAGAAGTAGGGTGGGGAGGCCTGATTCCCTCATCTACCCTGATCCTTAGAGGTTCTGTCCTTGCTGTTTTCCTCCAACCCTGCCCTGCCTGCCCCTGGCCCCTTGGGAGATGGAAGTGTCCCTCAGAAATGGGCCTTTTGAGAGTTGATGCTGCCTTGCTGCCCTCAGATGCTTTGCTCTTCAGAGGTCCTCTGCCACCTGCCGATCAGACGCCTGGCCCCACTCCTTTCCAGGAGCCCTGCCTGTCACAAGGTTCCTTGTCCTGCCTCTACCCCTACCCTCCAGATCCCCAGCACTCTTCCTACATTCCTCATTTCCTTTCAATATCACCAGGTCCTGGCATCTGATACTCCCCTGGGAATAGGAGTAGGGTGGGCATTGCTGTAGCCCAATCCCCTTCTCTACTCCTCTGTTGTTGGGAAAACTGAGGCCTGAGTAAACTCCCTCTTTGAGGCTCTGGGGAAGCTGATGCTCCTTCTACTGCAGAGGCCCAGGAAGCTGGAAGCCCTCTAGGGTGTGTCTTTGTGTCTGGGTTCAAGTGTTAGGACCCCACCTTTGGCCACCAGCTTCCTCTCTTGTTTTTTCCCCAGCTCTTTCTAGCAAGCTGAGCTTTTCTACCCCAACTAGACTTCCCAGCCCCCAGCCCTCAGTCCAAGTGCTGCCCATCAGTCAGGCTTAGACTGCAATCCCAGCTTTGCCACTCACCAGTTGAGTTGACTTGGGAGGTCATTCTCCTCTGTGCTTCAAATTCCTTATACATAGAATGGTACTAATGATACCTCATGGGATCGTTTGAGGGTGCAGTGATGTAGTGCCAAGAAAGGACTCAGCTTGGAGACTCGCACATGGCCAGCACCCAAAAGTAGTGGCTTTCCCTATTTCCATGGGCTGCTTCTCCACATCTGGCCTTGCTGTACTGTTCTCCATTTGTAATTAGGAGATAGGTCAACTCAGAGAAGTGGTATGTGTAATAGTTCAGAGTAGATATTCTGGAGCCAAACTGCCCAGACAGGAACGCCAGCTCTGCCTTTTTTCTAGTTGTCTATCCTGGGCAGGCGACTTAACCTCTGTACCTCAGTTTTCTCAGCTGCAACATAAGAATGGTAATAGCACTTAAAGCAGTGCCCAGTACCTGGTAAGCGTCAGTGGTGAATTAGCTAATACTCAGAGCCATGTCCTTCCATGTGGACAAAGTCTCAGGGATCACCTAGGAAGTTATCTGACTGGAGAAATGCCTGCTGATTCCTACAGAGGGGCACTTGCAGGAAATTTCCCAATTAGGAGTCCTGAGCCTTCATGAAACTGTTATATCTAAGGTTTTCTGGTGGTTTCTGAGTTTCCCGTAGCCTAGAAGGAGGGAGTGACATGGAGCTTGCCTGCCGAGAAGTTGAATATGAGATGATCAAAACCGTATGAAGCTGGCTCTGAACAAACGCTCAACCACACAACAGAGATAGCCCCAGCTGTCTTGAGAACTGGATGTGCTCCTGGTGGGGGGCGGGGCATGGTGGGAAAAGGCCATGTTCAGTTCCATTTTTGTTAATCATATGTGTATTGGGGCTTATTTCATGCCAGACCCTGGCAGAGCAATGTTAGCAATGGAGTTGGATGAGGCCCAACCTCTCCCTTGGGAGCTCCCTCAACAAATAGGAAAGGGAGATTTTCATCCCCCAAAGGCTAAGAGCAACCTGAGAAGGGATGTCAGATACTTTTAGGGAGATATTGGCTGCTGAGATATTGGCCTTTAGGATGGGAGGTATCACCCAGCTGCAGGCCTTGAACCTGTAACAGATGCCATGTGCGCTAGAGAAGAAGGTGTCTATCTATAGGCAGGCAACAAGGCCTCCACATCCTAACTGGGAAGCTAGGAGTCCACACCACTCCTCAGAGATCTGACAATCTCTGGTGGGCTCCTGGCCCACCAGAACTCTGGATAAATGAAAATGCAACAATTGTCAGTGACTCACCGTGAAAGAGGAAGCAGATGTTGATTAAATGTAGTCACAGTGCTGAGAATGTTAGAGTGGGGCAGGATGCTCAGTTGCTCCAATTGCTCAGATTGCTGGGCAATTGTACCTGGCAGGGAGATAAGGGGGTAAGACCCAGTGCCCAGGATGGGTTGGTATGGTTGGGGGGTGGGAAAAAGAGGAAGGCAGAAAGCTAGGATGGAAAGCATTGGCTGTAGAAGGGGTGGGGAGGGTTGCATGCCAGCTCCCCTGGGACTCTGGTGTCCACCCCTTCAGATTTCCTCCAAGTTCTTCATTTCCCAGGCTTCCAGGGTCAATTGAATCCAAGGCACTTCACTAGCTCCTAGATTATTTTCTCTTTTTATGAGCCTCAGCATCTCCTTTGATCTCAGAGGGTGGCCCCAGGGAGAGTTTTCTGTATGTGCAAGACTTTGTGGGGTGTCTATGCAAATGCTGGCGGTTTAGCATGAGAACCAAAGATTCAGGAGCCAAGTCTTTGTTTGGAAGGAGTCTCAAAAATCAAGCTCCTCTCTCCCATCTGACAAATGGGGAAACTGGATCTCCGGGTGCAGAGTGGAAAAGGAACTTGCCCAGAGTCACACAATGAGTGGGGCAGAGACAGGATCATGGGACTCTGGCCCAGGCAGTGAATTCAGGATTTGCTCTGTACCTCCTGGCGGCAGTGTCATGGAGGTAGCGTCCAGGGGCCCCTATCCTGGTAGCATCTTCTTCAAGGTTCCCACTCTCACCTGCCCTGCTCCGTCTGTGTGTTCCTCCGATAGTCCAGAAAGATCACTTTTGTTGCTTCTGTGGCAGGCTGACTTCCTCTAAATGTCACTGGCACTGAGAAGGATTTCAGGCAATGTGCTCCCCTCCCATGTGTGTTTGTCCTCTGAGACACCAGCCTGCTGGGATGCGGGGCACGGGGTCCACAGCTGGGAGACCTAGAACGCCATGGCTGGCTGGCTTGGTGGATGGATGAAAGAATGGCTGGGTGGGAAGTGCGTGAGTGGACAGTTGGCTGGATGGAGGTCTGATGAATGCAGAAACAGCTGAATGAATGGATGCATGGATGCATGAATGGATGGGTTATTGCAGCTTTTCTTGAAAACTATCCCTATCCCTCCCACCCACCTGGTATTCCAGGTGATTCTGAGACCTGGGATACCCAAGGTTTTGAGCACCTGCATCTGGGAGCAGAGGAGAGGAAGAGGATGTCATGCTCTCAGTGAGGAGGGGCTTTCACAACTCCCTCACCATTTCTCCCTTTTCAAGGCCTGCCCAGGCCTGGTTTTGTTGCTGGCTGACGTATACCCGATATAATGACACCTCTCTTCCCAAGCAAGGGTGCTCAATCTGGCCTCCTTGCTGTCATCTGACCCCAGTGGCACAGCCTTGTCACTCCCAGCTGGAGAGGCCCTTAGAGAACACTGTCTGGAGGCTAGCCTGCTTCCCCAGGAGACTTCTCAAGTACGAGGCACTCACTCTGTACAGAGAAGCCCTGTGGGATGCTCCAAGAGTCACACGGCTCTCATCTCCCAGAGCTGAGATTCCTTTCTGGTCTCATCTGGGGAGATGTCTCTGGTCTCAGTGTTGCCTTTGAGCCCTGGAGCCCATGTAGACTGTAGGGGTGGTGGTAGGGCTCCTCTATGTGGAATCTCCTGTGCTTCCCTGGCTACTCCTTCTTCCACCCCGTGGGCCTCTCTCCTGTCTCTGACCTCTGACTCCCAGGTCTGTCTGTCGGTGTCCCTGAGAGGCATGGCCCCAGGATTGCAAAGATGGGGCTGGACCTTGCTCAGTTTGGCTGAGAGAGGAAGGCTGGCCTGGAGGTCAGATTCTGTATGGACAGAATGAACAGATGGACCCTCAGCCCTGGCTGCTGAGCCTTTCCTCACATATTTATTCATTCTCTAAACAAATATTTATTGAGGGACTGCCTTGTGCCAAGCAGCATGCTGGACACCACAAAAACAGTGGAACCCAAAATAGATGTGATCCCAGTCCAAGAACATGGACAAATTTGGACAAACCAGCAACTATAAGTCAGGGTGATGAATGCTGTGAGGGGCCACTGCAGGAGGCTACCTAACCCAGCCTGGGGTCAGGGAAGGCTTCCTGGAGGAAGAGGCGTCTGGACCCAGATGGGAAGCCAGGTGGGCAGAGGAGAGAGAAGAGTGTGCCAGACCAAGGGAAGGGCATGGGTGGATGGGTATTTTCCCCCAGGCAGTAGAGCTGGGCCCTTTGCCCCACTCCACCTCCCCCAGCCGTGAGAGCTGGTTCCCCACAACTCCCTTCCCCCCAGTGACACTGGATTCCTTAGACACCTGGATGCTTGAACACCTGCCTTGGAGAGCAAAGAGTGGGAGGCATGAGACGCTGGCTCATTCAGGGAACTGACCCAAGCTTAGTGTCGCTGAACTATGGAAAGCAATGAGGCTGATCCTGAGAGCATCAGGTTGTTAAGTGGAGGTGAGCAAGGAGACCCCCTAGGCCACAGAAGAGAAAATAGATCCTGCCATTCCACCTCCCCCTTCCTATTCCTGTCCACCTGGCTAGACAGCAAACGGACAGCAGACAGATCTATGGGTGCCAGGTGCCTTTTTTTTTTTTTTTAAGGCTAGTTAAGCAGTAGGAGTGGAGAAAGAACAAAGAAATCTGTAACAGGTTGTGATCAATTAGTTGTAAACACCAGGCGGCTTTATTGGTAGCATTGCAATCTGGGGGTGGAGCAGCTTTACTCTGACCACACTCACCCTCTCGCTCACACTCACACTCACACACACCCCAGGCCCTGTCCTGGCTGGTCAGGTCTGGTGCAGAGGAGCTGGAAGCCTGGTCCTTCCTTCTGGTCCTCGGTTCCCCAGGTTAGGTAATAATTCACAATGCTTGACTCGGACTCCGGGCTCCCTCTGCACGGTCATAGGTTAACTGCTGCGGCGCTTCATCTAGAGGAGGAAGGAGAGGAAGGATCATGGGCTGGAATCTTAGACAGGAGCTCAGAGGGAGGAGACAGGGCCAGGGAGGGCCAGGCTTGCCTTGGCTGAGGTCCTCTGCAGTCTCTGGATGATGCGTTCTACCCAGGGCTGGTCTGGGGGTGCACAGAGCTGGCGGCCCCTCAGTGTGGTGAACCTGGGGTGAGAGGCCGGAGAGAATGGAGCCCCAGAATCCAGCATGCCTGGGGACCATGTCTGGGAACCTGTTTCAGGGATTTCCTTGAAGGGGTTGGGCTTGGCATGGAGAAGGGGAATAAGAAGGTGGGAGTCTCAACAGGGGCTAAAACGGGAGATGAGGCTAGACACCCTCCCCACAACTCACACTACAGCAGGCACCCTGCAGCCATCCTTGATGAGAAGGTAGTGGAAGTTCCTCACGATGTACCCAGGGATGGGTTTCTGGGTCACAGACAGGCAGCAGTCTTCAGCATCATTGGTGCCACTCAGAGTTGGGGCTGGGATGGGGAAAGAAGGTGACAGGACACAGGGACCCTTGAGGGTGGCATGGCCATGGCCCTAGCTCGGATTGAGGACACCTGTGTGTGTGTGTGTGTGTGTGTGTGTGTGTGTGTGTGTGTGTGTCTGGTGGGGTCGGGGAGGAGTTAGACCTGGTATTCAGCCATTATGCACCAATATGGCTCTGGCTCTACTGGTTGCTAAATATATTGTCATACTTCTAAACTGTTTTGTAAATAACCACTGCCCTGAGCCCCACAAATGACTTCCTGCTGCCCTGATCACCCCAACCTCTCTCCCAGGACAATCCAGCAAGTAAAGAGTTAATGCAGGTCACAGTGTGGGAGGGGCGTGGGGTAGGGTAGGCTGGTGTTAGGAGCCTTATTAATTGCTAAAATTTTTGAATATCAGCCTTGGCTTAGTGTCTGCCATTCTCCCTACCTTAAGCAAATCTCCTTCTGCCTGGGAAACGGAGGCAGCAGGAAATAGAGCTTGCAGAGACAGTCACAGCCATAGGCCCCAGGATGTGCTAAAAGACACACCCGCATTGGGATTCAGGGGCACAGGGACACCCACACTTACAGGCACACATGCAGGGACCTGCCAGGCTCACCGAAATATACAGACCTAAGCATTTGCCTGAACTCACCATGTCCCTTACGTCCAGTGCCAAGCAATCTGAGATCTAGACATTACCCACTGCCAGCCCCCCACTGCCTCTGACCCTGACTCTCCCTTCAGCCTTACCTGGGGAAGTCCAGAGAACCAGCAGGCTGAGGGCCAGTAGCAGGGCCATGGAGGGTGAACAGAGGCAGGCCAACGGTGAATGTGTGAGCGCCAGCTGTCTGGGTGTGTGCAGGATCTGTGTGAGGCTGCAGGGCGACTGGGATGCAGGGGTGAAATGCAAGGTGTGAGTGATGTGAGGCTGGGAATGTGAGCCCTGCAGCTGACTCCTATTTATGGCCAGAGCTTCACTTTCTCTGCCTGAAATTCCCCTTCATGTCCCATTCTGTGATTCCCCTGTTGCCCCCCTCTTTCTGGCAGAATCGCACCCTGCCCCCCTTCTTCCCCCTGCGGTTGCCCTTTCCTTCTGCTTTCCTTGGCTCCTGCTCTGAGAACTTAAGTCTGCAGTCTGGCCCAGTAAAGGGGGCTGTGCACTGTTTCTCCAGAGAGAGGGATTGCCCTGTCATCCCATTGATGGCATTTGCATCATCAACCATGAAGCTGGGGTTCAGAAGTGATGGTCAAAGGTGGGGCCCACAGTGAGGAACTGTGCTCCCTTCCTTAGGTTTATCCCTTGTCCTCACTGGTGCTTCTTTCTTGGGCTGGTGGTGAAGAAGGCTCCCTGGCACCCTCAGGACAACCATGAGATCCTGGGGTGGCCTCCAAGGTCATCACTGTGCCTGCCCACTATGTGGGAACCAGTCCTTCCCTTGGGGCAAGCAGAGCTGAAAGGCCAGGTACCTTGGGAGGAGGCCCAGGACCCCCATCCCACATCTCAGGCCTCTGGGGCTCAGCAAACCCTCCCCTTCCTCTATTTACTGTTTTCCTATGTCCAACACCTGGGTCAAAGGAACAGCTGGAGGGAGACTGGCTTGGAATAGCCCCCTTCATTTTCCCCCTTTTCTCAGTCCTGGGAACCAAGAGGGGATTTCTAAGGAGAGGGGCTGGCCAGCTCATATTCAGACAAATCTTAAAATTTCAAGGAATCGGCCGATGGGGGAGGGGACAAGTGACTTCCCATCCTTATGAGAAAGGTCAGAAGAGAAGGCCTTGAAAGAGAAACTAAATGTGAAACGCCCAGTCACCCGTCGTCACCCAAACCCTAGACCCTCTTTTGGATGGAGAGAGGGAGGGGGAACATTTCCCTCTTAAATTTCTGACTTAGCTTCTTTCCATTCATTAATCATAATAATAGTAATGGTATTTTTGATTGTTTACTATGTGCTAGGCTCTATGTCAAGGACTTTACCACTATTACCTTGCTTAACTTTCCCAAAACAATACCATTGATGTAGTTTTTCTTATTTTCACATTATTATTCTTATTTTACACATAAGGAACATGAGGCTCAGAGCACAAAGCCACACAGCTAGTAAGTACTGGAGCATGATTTGGACCCAGGTGTGCTCTAGGGTTTGCAGTCTTTACCTCCACTCCACACCGCCTGTCTGCCACTTGGTCATGGCACAGCACGGGTAGTCACGGTGCAGAGGAGGGAGACTCTGCAGACAGAGCGCCTAGCTTGGGATTCAGATTCCACCACTTACTAACTGCGACAAGGTGAAAATTCTCCAGTTTCTGTGTCTTAGTGTCCTTATTTGTAAAATGGGAATGGTAGAAGATCTACTTCTTAGGATTAAGTGAGGAACCCTGAGTAAAGCCCTTAGCTTAGAGGCTGACGCACAATAAGCTCTGTTAGCCATTGTTCTTCTTTTGTCCTTTTTTTTTTTTTTTTTTTGAGACAGAGTCTCACTCTGTCACCCAGGCTGGAGTACAATGGCACGATCTTGGCTCAGAGCAACCTCCACCTCCTGGGCTCAAGGGATTCTCCTGCCTCAGCCTCCTGAGTAGCTGGGATTACAGGCACCCACCATCATGCCCGGCTAAATTTGGTATTTTTAGTAGAGGTGAGGTTTCACCTTGTTGGCTAGGCTGGTTTCGAACTCCTGGTTTCGAACTCCTGACTTCAAATGATCTGCTTGCCTCCGCTTCCCAAAGTGTTGGGATTACAGGCGTGAGCCACCGTGCCTGGCCTTCTATCCTTTTATTCAGGTATCTGTTCATTAATTCATCCATCCACCCCTCTTTCCATTGATCTATCCATTCTTCTGTCCATGATGGTTCTGGTTATTCTGTTTGCCCCAGCCTATCCATTCTCCACTCTTCACGGCCCTGCTCTGCTCCCTGGAAGGCTGACCTCTGCAGATAGCATTACTTAGGGTCACCTGCTTTCTGGCTTCTGTTTGGGGCTGGCCCATGGGAAGCAGCAACTGATCAGTGGTGGAAGGAGAGAGGGGTATTAATTCCCCAAATCCTTCATCTTGCTGCAGTTCTGGCAGTGAATAATTTCCCCTGTGGCAGTTGTTCTCAAAGAGTAGCCTTTGGGCAGCAGCAGCAGCATCACTTGGGAGCTTGTTAGAAACACGAATTCTTAGATTTTACTTCCCACTTACCACATCTGAGACTCTGAGGATGGGGTCCAGCAAACTGCATTTTCACATACCCTCCAAGTGACTCTGATATGTGCTAAAGTTTGAGATCCAAACGAGCCTCAGGGATACCATCAAATATACCTCATCACAGGAGTCTCAGGAGGAGAATAGAGAGAACAGGGCATTAAAAAAATTGAAGAAATAATGACAAAACATCTGAAATCTGATGAAAAGTATGTATATACATATCCAAGAAGTTCATTACGCCTGGCCTGCTATGTTGTTATGTTTATCAGAGATCTTTGTTTCTTTGTGTGGCTGTAAGTTATTACTTTTTGTCCTTTTGTTTCATTCTGAAGGTCTCCCTTTAGCATTTCTTTGTTTGTTTTTTGTTTTTTCTTTCTCCCTTTAGCTTTTCTTATGGGCAGATGTACTATTAATGAACTTCCTAAGTTTTGTTTATCCAGAACAGGAGTTTGAGACAAGCCTGGCCAACATGGTGAAACCCCATCTCAACTCCTGACTACTCAGCTACTCAGGAGGCTGAGGCAGGAGAATCCCAAGGCTCACCTTGGCCTCCCAAAGTGGTCTACAGATTGAGGCCCACTGATCTACAGTGATCCTTTTGGGTTGCCTCCCTTCCACGGGTCTATCTCTATTCTTTTTTTTTTTTTTTTTTTTTTTTTTTTGATACAGAGTCTCAATATGTCACCCAGGCTCTAGTGCAGTGGCACAGTCTCAGCTAACTGCAGCCTCTGCCTCCTATGTTCAAGTAATTCTCTTGCCTCAGCCACCCGAGTAGCTGGGATTAGAGGCACGCACCACCACGCTTGGCTAATTTTTTTTTTTGAGATGGAGTTTCACCCTTGTCACCCAGGCTGGAGTGCAATGGCACAATCTCAGCTCACTGCAACCTCCGCCTCCTGGGTTCAAGCGATTCTGCTGCCTCAGCCTCCTGAGTAGCTGGGATTACAGGGACCCGCCACCACACCCAGCTAAGTTTTTTGTATTTTTAGTAGAGATGGGGTTTCATCATGTTGGCCAGGCTGGTCTTGAACTCCTGACCTCAGGTGATCCACCTGCTTTGGCCTCCCAAAGTGCAGGGATTACAGGCGTGAGCCACCATGCCCGGCCTAATTTTTGTACTTTTAATACAGATGAGATTTCACCATGTTGGCCAGTCTGGTCTCAAATTCCTGACCTCAGGTGATCCACCCGCCTCGGCCTCCCAAAGTGCTGGGATGACAGGCTTTGGAAACACTGTTCCCTCCTCTTGCCCCTTCAAGCCTTTGTATGATAATGGTTTCTCACCATTGCTAGACCCCAACTGCCTATCATCCCATGTTAGTTCCTTAATCCTGACCTAATCTCTTAAATTGTCCCTTTATTAAAATCTTTCCAGTTAAATTTTTTTTGAGTGTATGTGATATTGTGAAATATATATCTGGTCTTCATCTTCCTTTTCTGACATATAGCTCCTAAAATCCTTGGAATCTTGGGAGAGATTGTGTCTTTTGTATGCTAATGAGATAACTGGTGGCTGGGGGCCTCTAGACAGCCTCTGGATGGGAGCTAGTCAGCAGAAGAACCAGCCACATGGTTAGAGAGTTGGAACATTCTCTAACATTCTGTAGTGGTGGGGAGTCCCACCCACTCCCCACCTCTGGGTAGGGGAAGAGGGGTTGAAACTTGAGTTGATAAACCAATGGCTGATGATGTAATCAATTATACCTAGGTACTGATACTTCCATTAAAAACCCGAAAGGACTAAGTTGGGGTGGGGGCTTCTGGATAGCTGAAAACATGGAGGTTCTGGAGGAGGGTGCCCAGAGAGGGCATGAAAGCTCCACACCTTTTTTTCCCCATACCTCACTCTATGCATCCCTTTCATCTGGCTGTTTATCTGTTCTTTGTAATATCCTTTATAATAAATGGGTAAGCATAAGTAAGTGTTTCTCTGACTTCTGTGAGCCGCTGTAGCAAATTAATTGAACCCCAGGTGGGTTGTGGAAACCCTTATTTATAGCTGGTCAGTCAGAAGCATAGGCCACACTCTGTGCTTGCAATTGGTATCTGAAGTAGGGGGGCAGTCTTGTGGAACTGAACCCTCAACTTGTGGGATCTGATGCTACCTCCAGGTAAATGATGTCAGAATTGAACTGAATTAGGGGACACCCATCTGGTGTCCACTGAGGAACTGTCTGCCAGATAATTTCTTGGTGGGGAGAAATCCCCACACACTTATGGGTACCCAGAGGTCACAGAAGTATTGAGTGGTGAGAGGGAGTAGAGAGTAGGGAAACATGGTTTTCCCTGTATCCTTGGAGTGTGCTATCTGTTTCCTGCCAGGGTCCTCACTGATATAATTGGCAGTACCAGGACATAGATTCCCAAAATGGGATTCTAGGATTGGCTTGCCCTTGATGAGGGCATGGATGGTCTCTGTGGTTGGAAAAAGAAGACACAAGTAATCTGGAGCACGTAGAAGCATCACAGTCACTTAGACTATCACTCGTGAGGCATGGATGAAATGTTGGAAGTCAAGACATTAGGAGATAAAGTACCTGAGGCACTTACTTACTATGGTCACAAATGATGATTGCAAATGGTGATTACTATATTGTTACTATAGTACTATATTGAGGCCAGAACCTCACTGGCCATTTCTGATTGTGCTAGTAAAATTCCAATAAAAAAGATAAGGTTAGGCCAGGCACAGTGGCTCACGCCTGTAATCCCAACATTTTGGGAGGCTGTGGGGGGCAGATCACTTGAGGTCAGGAGTTTGAGACCAGCTTGACCAACATGGCGAAACCCTGTCTCTACTAAAAATACAAAAATTAGCCAGGCACGCTGGCGAGTGCCTGTAATCCCAGCTACTCAGGGGGCTGAGGCAGGAGAATCGCTTTAACCCGGGAGACAGAAGTTGCGGTGTGCAGAGATCATGCCATTGCACTCCAGGCTGGCGACAGAGCAAGACTCCATCTCAAAAAAAAAAAAAAAAAAAAAGTTTAGACCAGGAACTTCTAACTCAAATGGAAGTCTTAAGGAATGTTTATTGTATGTGGCCACATGACAGATATGGCTGAGGATCAGATCCAAGACCCGAGTGTCTTGGATTCATGTATGAGTGATGATGCCCTTATCCTGGAATAAAGGCACTGTTGGGAAGGCATAGGACTCTGAAACTTGGAATGGTGACATTTGAGCAGAGATGAACAAAGCTGAGAACTTTGGACCTTCAAATCCCCCTGAATCTTCCTTGGTGGCAGAGGATAATTCCCCCTTCCCCTGTAAACCATGAAGGATCCAACCTTCCCTTCCGTTAGATAATAACTCTCTGGCAAAAGGCATGCCTTTTTCCCTCAGGACCCACCCTGACCAGCCCTCAGAGTCTCCAGGCCCGTAGCAAGTTTAATCCTAACATTGTCTGGACAGGAAAGTACAGGATATGCTCCAAGAGCAAGAGCGTAGGTGCTGGGAAATTTGCAGGAACTTGTCAACTTGTCCTGGGAGAATCCCAGGAACCAGTGAGGACAAATTTATTGATATAGGTGTTCTCATGTAGGATTTGGGTATCATTGTGTTAATATTAGCTGAGCACCTGGGAGTTGTGTTAATATTCTGTTGGGTTGATTCCTGGAAGCCTGGATTTGACAGTGGCCTGTGATCAGTGAGGCTGAGGTGCTAGAACCTCGCTGGCCTGTTGTAGAACTCCTCAAACTTTAATGTGTGCATGATTCACCTAGGAGAATCTTATTAAACTGTAGATTCTATTCAGTAGGTCTGTAGTGAAGCCCAGGATGTTTCATGTTTCACATTCACAAATTTTTTTTTTTGAGGTGGAGTCTTGCTCTGTCACCCAGGCTGGAGTGCAATGGCACGATCTCTGCTCACTGCAACCTCCACCTCCTGGGTTCAAGCGATTCTCTTGCCTCAGCCTCCCAAGTAGCTGGGATTACAGGCACATACCATCATGCCCGGCTGACTTTTGTATTTTTAGTAGAGATGGGGTTTCATCATGTTGGCCAGGCTGGTCTTGAACTCCTGACCTCAGCCGATCCACCTGCCTCGGCCTCCCAAAGTACTGGGATTACAGGCCTGAGCCACCGCACCCAGCCTTCACGTTTCACAAACTTTTAAATGATGCTGATGCTGTGGTCCTTGGACTATACCTTGAATAGTAAAGTAGAGGAAGAGGTTCAAAGGTTAGAAATAAATGTTGAAATTACCTATTTTGTACACCTCCGAAGGGCCCAGAAAGATTCTTCTTCAAGGCACAAGAACACATTAGTGAGGGGAACACCAACTCTTTGAAAAGCACTGTGTGGCTTCTTTAATAGGCTAGACATGAGGTTGTGAGATGCTCTCTTGGGACTGGGCAGGCTTATTTCAAGGTGAATGATGGAATTCTTGCGTGGTAGAGGACAGATGTTACCACCTAACCATGAGTGATAAGGTGAGTGAAATTACTATGAAATCTGTAGGGATGAGTGGTAATCATGTGCTTTGCCCCATAGGAATATGTGGTGGTAGCTAATTAATCATGGTGTTCCTAGTAATGAAATAGATGGACAGCTTACTAATGTTCTACTCGACCCATACAAGTGGAAAAATTCTAGACCTTGTAAACAGAAACTTGATTTTCAGATTATATTAAGGATTTACAGTCTTACCCAGTTTTTGACTTAAGCCAGTTTCCCAGAACTGAATCCTCTTGATTGGGTGGGGGGCTGGGGGATCCTGGATCTCTTTCACAGGCGGATTCTATAAATCTTCCTCCTAGTCAGTGTTTTTCAAGATGTGGTGAAATTTCCAGGCTATGGAGATGGGGACAAGCTGAAAAATAGTCATCTAGGGCATAACGTTCCAGAGCATTTTGGGTTTTAGAGGCAATATATACTGTATTTATATGTACTACTGCAAAATGTACTGCAAAATGTACTACTGCAAAATGGCTGGATTATTGCATAAAGGCTCATAAAGATGACAGTTTGTTTTTGTTGTTCTTTTTTGGGACGGAGTTTCACTCTTGTTTGCCAAGGCTGGAGTGCAATCGCGCGATCTCGGCTCCCAGGTTCAAGTGGTTCTCCTGCCTCAGCCTCCTGAGTAGCTAGGACTGCGGGCATGCACCACCACACCTGGCTAATTTTGTCTTTTTAGTAGAGATGGGGTTTCTTCATGTTGGTTAGGCTGGTCTTGAACTCCTGACCTCCGGTGATCCACCTGCCTCGGCCTCCCAAAGTGCTGGGATTACAGGTGTGAGCCACCGTGCCCAGCCAAAGCTGATAGTTTTGAATGAGCTCCAGGCTCCGGGGAAAGTTGCCCTGCTGCTCTGGCTGAATGACCCACAAATCCAGTGAACTTCATGTCATCTGTGGCAGATAAGGGTGTGCTGTAGGAGCCCTAGTAGGAGAGTTAAAGCAAAGAATCTTAGTGTAGTGGAGTAAGGCCATGCTTCTTCTGCTAACAGTTCTTTTCTATTTGAAAAGCAGCTCTTGATAGGCCTTGGGGCCCTGGTCTAAAACTCAGATTATAGTTCATCCAGTGACAACGTGACCTAAGGGTGCTATCTAAGCAAATCATATAGTTGGATGTGCACAGCAGCATTCATTATGAAATGAATTGTATATATGAGACCAGACCTTAGAAGTTTCAGAAGGTATGAATAAAGCATGGCCAGATGGCTTGGACTCCTACTTGTGTTGTTTTCTGCTTCTTCTTCTGATCACACTTACAGCTTCATGGAGATGTTCTCTACAAACAGTTAACAGAGGATCTGTAAGGTATGCTGGCATTAGCTGGAAGAGACAGCTGATTACAGCCCCAACCAGGGATGGTCCTGAAATACAGTGGTTAAGGGAAGTCCTCTCAGTGGGCAGAATTTGGGGCAGTACATTTAGTGTACACTTTGCCTAGAAGAAGAGATGGTCTGAGGTTTGGAGCTATACTAATTCATGTGCAGTGGCTGCCTGCAACAACCCTGCTCTCACCTCTGTAAGTGGTCCCTTCACTAAATTATTTTCCATTAACCCTTTTTGAGCATGCCATTTGTTTCCTGCCAAGATCCTAAATGACACAATCGTATAGTGCAAAGCTGGCGGAGAGGTTTTAATTCAATTTCAATACCATCTGCCTGGAGTGCCTGTTGGGAAGGACCCTGAGAATCAGCAGGAAAGGGTGAAATAATGAAATAATAATAAAGAAGGCATCTGTTACACATTCATTCAATAAATATTTATTGAGGGCCTCCTATGTGCCAGACACCGTTCTTGGCACTGAGATACAGCAGTAAGCACAACAGATACGCGTTCCTGCTCTTGCAGAGTTGTTATGCTAATGAAAGAGACAAACAATAAGCAAACAAGAAAAATCTATACTATCTCAGATGGCAATAAGTGCTATGAAGAAAAATAAAGAAGGCAAGAGGGATAGGGAGTATTGAGGGAGGGGGTTATTTTAAATAAGGCAGTCAGGAAAACCTTTACTAATAACATTTGAGCAGAGAGCTGACCTGATGAAGGTGAGGGAGAAATCCATGCAGAGGTCTGTGGGAAGATGTTCTGGGTAGAGAAAACAGCAAGGGCAAAGAGTCAAGAGTGTATCTGAGGAATAGCAAGGAGGCCAAAAGGGGAGGGTGGTAGGAGATATACAGTCAGATAATAACAGGGGCCAGATAACACAGGGTTTTGTAGGCCACTGTTATATTCCGCGGAGTGAGATGGGGAGCTATTGGAAGGTATTGAACAAGTATGATGTGACATAAACTCGCTCTAGCTGTTGAATGGAGAGTAGATCAAACTGGTGCAAGAATGGAAGCAGGGAGACCAGGGTGGAGGCCGTTGCAACAATCCAGGGAGGAGATGATGGTGCATGGAGTTGGTGAGAAGTGCTCAGATTCTGGAAACAAAGTAGAGCCAATAGACTTTGCTGAGGGGTTCAGCATAGGATATGAGAGAAAGAAGAGGAGAGAATACTGCAAAATTTTTGACTTGAGAAACTTGGATATAATTTTAGTTAACAAGATGAGGATGATTGAAGAGGAGTGGGTTTGTGGGGAGATCAGGACCCTGGTATAGACTTAAGTTGAAGCTGCATGTTGGGCATATTAATGGAAATGTTAAGTAGGTAGCTGGGATGAGTCTGGAGTTCAGGGAAGAGATTCTAGCTGAAGACACACATTTGGGAGTAAATGGATGGTACTTAAAGGTATGAGACAATGAGGTCACCAAGAGAGTGAGTGTAGATAGAAGAGGTCCAAGTTCTAAGTCCTGGACCTCTCCAACATGAACAGATCAGGAAGAGAAACAGGAATCAGGGAAGGAGGTGGCAGTCAGGGTGTTCCGAAGGTACCCACTATCATGGCAAAAAGGGAAAGGACACAGGCCCGGTGTGTGAAGTGTTTAAGGCACCTACCCACAGCTGTTGGTTTAGATAATCCAATGGGGGTGGGGGACTGGAGGTCAGGGAGGTGTTTGAAACAGTTTCTGACCACAGGTACAGAGGCATCAGCGCTACGTGCTTCGCCTTGTTCACCCTCTTCCCAGCCAAGTCGTTTATACAGGGTTCTTGGTTCAGCCTGAGTCCTGGGAATCTTGTTCCAGCTCAGGGCGATCAACCCATTCAGCCCAGCCTAGCCTCATCCTTTTTTCAAGGAGCCTGCCCAACTTTCGTGCTCCAGGTCTGGCCAAATCCCCGCCCCAGGGGTAGGAGATCCTGAATGCGCGCGTACTAGCCATTGGGGCAGGGGAGTCAACCAAGTTCGTGGTGGGGGTCGGGGTGGGTGAATGACTGTAGGGAGAGGACCCGGACTAGATGGTTAGTGTATGTCGCATGCATGAATGTGCGTATCCCGAACTGTGTCTGTGGGGCTCTGGGCGACCGGGGCATGTGTGCGGATGTGTGTCCGCGCCCGTGAGCGTGCCCATGCATCTCCCTTCCTGGGCCTGCAGGGGGCGCCCCGAGCCTGGGAAGGGAGGCTCTGGAGTGGGGCGCGGCTGCGGCAGAGGGGTGGGCGCATGCGGCTGTGACCCTGCGAGCTCCTCAGAGAGGCTGCGGTGAGCGGGCGTCCGAAGTCCCTGGGCCTGGAACAGCCTCTGGCGCCCTCCCGGCTCCCTGGCCCCGCCGTCCCTGGGGTCCCCGCGCGCGGGCCGGGCGTATGGAGGGGAGGCTCGGGCTGTGGGTGGTGCCCGCGCATCCGATGACCTGGGCCGACAGTTACCCCGGGCCAGGACACCGCCGTCCGGCCAAACCCCTGCCACCCAGGCCCCCGAGCCTCGGGGGTCCTCTGCGGGGCCGGCCCAGCCCGGTGGCCGGGGGAAGGCCCGTGTTTGTCGGCGAATATGAAGCATTTATCTTTCCCTCCCACGCCCCAAATAGTCCCGATTTACCCAGAGCCCAAGGTGCCCAATGTTGAAGTCTTGAAATAATTACTGTTTGGCTTAAAGGCTGAAGGAGGGTTCACATCACCTCTGGCACTTCGCTCGCACCCGATAGATATCTTACACCACTCATTACGGGGCCAACGCTAAGAAAGGTTTCCTTATTCCAAGGAAATATATTAGGCGCGAGGCTGGGGCTGGAGGATGAAGGGCTATAGCCTGACATGGGCGGAAAAGGAACTTGTCTTGCCCATAAGTGGACACAGGGAAACGCGCAACCTTTGGCCTAGAATGAGACACATGTGAGAACAAATCGTGAAAATAATTGAAAACAAATTGGTCCTAGAAAGATGAAGGAAATGAGAATGGAAAATTCAACCCCCACTCCTGTTTTCCTGTAGCAGACAGAGGACTGCTGCCTCCTGGTGGCCGAGCGGGGCAGTGAGCGCCTCCCAGCAGGCGGAGGCTCACACAGCGCAGGGGATACTCCGAGCAGAAGCTGGCGCTGGCTGCTTAGGCCTTCACAAGTGGTGTTCAGTTATTCTCTTAATATTGGATTGAAATTTATTATTACCACAACCCATGATTCTAAAGCAAAAGTCTCAAAGAATATGGTAACAGACTTTCTCTGGGGTGTTTTAGTTTGCTGCCTACTGAGAAATGGTTGTCTTGAAGAAAACAGAGCTTTCAGCTTCTTGACATAGCAATAGACGTAGGTCACCAAGGTCACAAGGTCATACAATTCCCCTTAAAGTAGGCACTACTAGAAGAATTACAAATATAGGCCTGGCACAGTGGCTCTTGCCTGTAATCCCAGCACTTTGGGAGGATGAGGCTGGAGGACCCCTTGAGGCCAAGAGTTGGAGACTGCAGTGAGCTATTACTGCACCATTGCACTCCAGCCTGGGCAACAGAGTAAGACCCTGTCTCAAAAAAAGAATTACAAATATAGGCGTTAGAAAAAAAGAGAGTTGGCAATTTCAGCATCCATAAAAATGGTAATCCAGCCCAAGACTGATGGCAAAGGATAGAAACGTTGATGACTTTAACAAAACAGCATTATTTTGTCCCCAGATACAAGGAGAAGTAATGCCTGGATGTGAGAAAGAAAAAGAACTTCACAAAGGATACCAGCTGAAGCTTAAGACATATTTCACAGGTAAGCGATTATAGCTGGGAAACAAATTAATGTCACCTTTCATAGACAACAAGTGACAGACCCCACCCCTCTGACTCCCACTAGGTCATTTGGCATGGTAGAGGATACCTAGTGTGTCATTCTGGTAGCCCCATAATTTAAATTTTTTTTTTTTGAGACGGAGTCTTGCTCTGTTGCCCAGGCTGGAGCGCAATGGTGTGACCTCGGCTCACAGCAACCTCCTGGGTTCAAGCAATTCTCCTGCCTCAGCCTCCCGAATAGCTGGGATTACAAGCACCCACCACCATGCCTGGCTAATTTCTGTATTTTTAGTACAGATGGAGTTTCACCATGTTGGCCAGGCTGGTTTCGAACACCTGACCTCAGGTGATCCACCCGCCTCGGCCTCTCAAAGTGCTGGGATTACAGGCATGAGCCACTGCCCCCAGCCCATTATTTTTAATTTTTAAAAGAAAGGTATCAAAAGAAAGAACCCGACAGTTGTTGGTAATCACAGCCCTCTAAAAGGATATCATTAATAAGTAGGAATTGTGGCCAGCCAAAGTGTGGCCCAAGTATCCTGAAGGGAGGGGTTCTTAAGAAATCTGATTGCTTACTCTTTAAGAGTTTTTTTGTAGGCTACTTTGCCTATGGAGTAACCATTCTTTTATTCCTCTACTTTCTTAATAAACTTGCTTTCACTTAAAAAAAAGTTTCTTGTAATAAAATGTAGAGACAGGGCCTTGCCATGTTGTTCAGTCTGATCTCAAACTCTTGGGCTTAAGCCGTTCTCCTACCTCTGCCTCCCAAAGAGCTGAGATTACAGGTGTGTGCCACCGCACCTGGCCGACTGCTTACTTTGGAATTGGTTTCAGGTTTATAGGACTAACTGAGGCTTGTTTGTTTTTCACTGCAGCCTCGAACTCCTGAGTTCAAGAGATCCTCCCACCTCAGCCTCCCAAAGTGCTGGGATTATAGGCATGAGCCACGGTTCCTGGCCTGAGATCTATTAGCTCTAATTTTTTGTTTTTTAAAGGTGGGGTATTGCTCCACTATGATCAGCTATGGTGTGATCATAGCTCACTGCAGCCTCGAACTCCTAGGCAATCAAGTGATCCTCCCACCTCAGCCTCCAAGTCGCTAGGACAATAGGCCTGTGCCACCGTGCCTGGCTAATTCTTTCTTTTTTTTTTGTAGAGACAGGGGTCTTGCTTCGTTGCCCAGGCTGGTCTCAAACTCCTGGCTTCAAGCCATCTGCCCACCTCAGCCTCCCAAAGTGCTGGGATTATAGGCGTGAGCTGCCATGCCCAGCTAGCTCTAATTCTTTACTAGTCCCACCTATCCTCTATATCTGTATCAAAGAAGCCCTTAAAATATTGACAAGGAAGGAGTGAACCGGGAGAAGCAGGAGGAGATTCTGAGGCAACACTGACAAGTGGGAGTCAGCCCATGATTTCATTAGTGTGTGTGTGTGTGTGTGTATGTTATCATTTTGTGGAAGAGATAGTGGTGAAATTATTTAAAAACATGGTATGGCCAGGCACAGTGGCTCACACCTGTAATCCCAGCACTTTGGGAGGCCAAGGTGGGAGGATCCCTTGAGCTCAGGAGTTTTAAGACCAGCCTGGGCAACATAGTGAGACCTCGTCTCTACAAAAAATGAACAAAATTAGCTGGGTGTGGTGGTGTGTGCCTGTAGTCCTACCTACTCAGGAGGCTGAGGTGGGAGGATTGCTTGAGCCCAGGAGGTTGAGGTTGCAGTGAGCTGAGATTGCGCCACTCACTTCAGCCTGGGTGACAGAGCAAGACCCTATCTCAAAAAAGGAGCAAATAAAAACAACAAAAATACATGGTATTAGTAATTTTCTGGATGACACTGAGGAGGACTCATTGTTAGAACATAGTGATAACTCACTTTTAAAGCAATAAATTGCTTCTGTGGTTCTGTGATAAAGAAAAGTCAGGATTCCAGGGATTAAAATGAGTTTTCATGCTTAAGGAATGAAGATTTTGTAGATTTTAGAGATAATTCATCTTTAGGATTTTTTTTTTTTTACATCTCTAGTAGAAGTCATTGTTTCCCTGTTGGATACTGGCATATGAATATTCAGTAAATATGAATTTTTACTGTATTCACGAATAAGACATTAGAAATCCTTCATATTTATAATTTGATTTTATGCTTTGTATCTATTTTTATTGAAATATTTACGTGTCTCAGCAGTAGGCTTTTGGAAAGTTACCTTTATCTCCTCTCCCATTTGGGCTCTTGGGGGTTTATGCCTTTATTTTATTTTTAAAATTAATTTATTTACTTTGAGACAGGGTCTCTCACTTTTTAGCCCAGGCTATATGGCTCCCAGGCTCAAGTGATCCTCCCACCTCAGCCTCCTGAGTAGCTGGGACCATAGGCACATGCCACTACACCAGCTACTTTTTTTTATTTTTTGTACAGACGAGGTCTCATTGTGTTGCCCAGGTTGGTCTCAAACTCCTGAGCTGAAGTGAGCGTCTTGGCCTCCCAAAGTGTTGGGATTACAGGCGTAAGCCACTGCGCCTGGCCTTGCTTTATGCCTTTACACGCATACATGCACCAAAAAAATTTACTGTAGTTTTAGTCGGGGCTCAGTGAGAAGTGAAAATAAAGGCATGTAATTAATTTTCCATCCCTACCCTGAACTCCGATTTGTTTTTAAATTTAATGGTGTTGATCTTTAATGATTTACGTTTTATGGTTTTATGACTTGTTTAAGAAACTCTTTTTGGCCAAGCAGAGTGGCTCATGGCTGTAATCCCAGCACTTTGGGAGGCTGAGGCGGGTGGAGCGCTTGAGCCCAGGAGTTCAAGACCAGCTTGGGCAATATAGTGAGACCTGGTCTCCATTTTATTTTAAAAAAAAGTTATTTTATACCTCGAAGTTATAACCACATTCACCTATATTTTCTTCTACGTATATCTTAAACATTATGTTTTGAATCCATCTCATATGATGAAGAATTTGAAAGGCAATGTCAAGATAGAGGTATTTTAAAAAGGGAAGGGCATTAGAACCTTTAAGAAAAACAAAAAGATGAGTGACGAAGGAAAAGTGCACTACTTTTGTCTGCAGAGAACATTTATATAGTCAAAATAATGTAATATGTGATAATACATATTATGTAATAGTAATCCACAATAATATAAACTGTAATTATGATCTAAATATGGTAATATAATCATGATCTAAATATTATGGTATGACTATATTTAGAGGATGCAGTGACAGGAGAGGAGAGTTGGCAAGAGAGTTAGATCTTCACTTTTTATAGTAGGAAGTCATCTGGTAATGTTTAAAATAGGTAAATCAAGAAACAGAGGTATAGGCAAAGTACTTAGACATATGGCACTAAGAAATAGCATAGGAGTTAAAGTTGTAGGAAATTATGTTATTCAGAATAAACCTTTTGGTACTTTTGGATATATTTTTTAACTGTGAGTGTGTATTATGTGATATTTTTTGAATTATGCATCAAGAGAATAAGAGAGAAAAGAGAAAGAACAGGACAATGTTGTCAAAGATGAAGGCAGACAAGGAGAGTGGCCAGTCATGATCTGATGGAATAAATAATATATTGCATGCTTACTCAGAGCAGGGCTTGAGGCAAATACCAGGCATGCAGGTGTGGCAGGAGAATTTAGTGAAATAGAGAGTTTTGTTTTTTCTGCCTATGTTTTTCTTTTCACTATAGAGTAGGCAAGAGTTTTGGCAGGGCTGGGAGTGATGTCCTGATGTCAAAGGGAGCCTGACGTCAAAGGCCTTTTGTAAATGTCTTACACCAGGGGAAAATGCCGGGCATAGAGGCTCACACCTGTAATCCCAGCAACTTGGAGCCTGAGGCAGGAGGATCCCTTGAGCCCAGGAGTTTGAGGTTACAGTGAGCTATGATCCTACCTTTGCACTCCAGCCTGGACT